>NC_000006.12:15060000-15211515 GCF_000001405.40 Homo sapiens | reverse complement strand
CTCTTTCTGTCACCCAAGCTGGAGTGCAGTGGCACAATCTCAGCTCACTGCAACCTCTGCCTCCTGGGTTCAAGCAATCCCCTGCCTCAGCCTCTGGAGTAGCTGGGATTACAGGCGCCCGCCACCACGCCCGGCTAAATTTTTGTATTTTCAGTAGAGATGGGGTTTCACCGTGTTACCCAGGATGGTCTTGATCTCCTGACTTCGTGATCCACCCGCCTCAACCTCCTAAAGTGCTGGGATTACAGGCCTGAACCACCAGCCCAGCTAGTCTTCCTATTTTAAGCCACCACTACGTTTCATCTAGATCACTGCTGGTTTTCTCCCCACTAGTCTACTCTTCAACCTATGGTCAGAGAGGTCTTTTAAAAATGTAGGACTGGGCATGGTGGCTCACACACACAAAAAAGAAAGTAGAGGAAGAAAGAATGGCTACTCCAATAGGCAGAGCATCCCTAAGGGCGCTGGTTGCTTATTTTTATGCGTCTTTCTTGATTGTATGCTAAATAAGGGGTGAATTATTCATGAGCTTTCCAGGAAAGGGGTGGGCAATTCCTGTAGCTGCTGTGGGTTCCTCCCCTTTTTAGACCATGTAGAGTAACTTTCTGATGTTGTGTTTGTATTTCTGAACCGTCATGGCGCTGGTGGGAGTGTAGCAGTGAGGATGACCAGAGGCCATCTTGGTTTTGGTGGGTTTTGGCTGGCTTCTCTACTGCAACCTGTTTTTGTTTTTTTTTTTTTCTTTTTTTGAGTCTCACTCCTATTCCCCAGGCTGGAGTGCAGTGGCACGATCTTGGCTCACTGCAACCTCCACCTCCTGGCTTCAAGTGATTCTCCTGCCTCAGCCTCCCACGTAGCTGGGAGTACAGGCACCCGCCACCACGCCTGGCTAATTTTTGTATTTTTAGTAGAGACGGGGTTTTGCCATGTTGGCCAGGCTGGTTTTGAACTCCTGTCCTCAGGTGATCTGCCCTCCTTGGCCTCCCAAAGTGCTGGGATTACAGGCGTGAGCCACTGCGCCTGGCCTACAACCTGTTTTATCAGCAAGGTCTTTATGACCTGTATCTTGTGTCGACCTCCTATCTCATCCTGTGACTTAGAATGCCTAACTGTCTGGGAATGCAGCCCATTATGTCTCAGCCTTATTTTACCCAGCCCCTATTCAAAATGGAGTTGCTCTGGTTCCAATGTCCCTAACACTACCACTTCCTTCCTAGCTAATAAGGTCCAGTCACCCAAATCACCTTGCTGCCTATAACAGGTCAACCTCCTGCATTTGCACCCCTCCTTCCTCAGAATGGCTCTTCTGATTTTCCCACATGTGAGATATTCCTACAGGTCTTAGCGTGAATGTCATCTTCTCTGCAAGACCTTTTCTGACTTCTATCCCAATTCTTATCACATTACTGTTCGTTTTCTTCATACCAGCCATATATTATTCATTTGCACACTGCTGGTGTCCTTCACCAGAATAAGAACTCCCATGATTGCAGAATCCTTGTTGTCATGTAGACTGCTGTAAACCCAGGGCCTAGAATAAGTGCATGGCACATTGCAGGCCAATTAAAAACTTTTGTAAGTTAGTAAATCAAGGAGGGAAGTAAGTGATCCAAGACTCCTGTCTAGGCTTCATTGCTGAGCCCTTCGGTTAAGAAGCTCCTCTTTCCAGGCGGGTGCAGTGGCTCAGGCCTGTAGTCCCAGCACTTTGAGAGGCCGAGGTGGGTGGATCACCTGAGGTCAGGAGTTTGAGACCAGCCTGCCCAACATGGTGAAACCCCGTCTCTACTTAAAATACAAAAATTAAGTGGGCATAGTGGCACGCGCCTGTAGTCCCAGCTACTCGGGAGCCTGAAGTAGGAAAATTGCTTGAGCCTGGGAGGTGGAGTTTGCAGTGAGCCGAGATCGCGCCACGGCACTCTAGCCTGGGTGACAGAGACTCCATCTCAAAAAAAATAAAAATAAATAAATAAAGGAAGTCCTCTTTCCTCTTTTGGAGGAGAAATGGATAGGGAGGTGAGGCAGTCTGTATTTCTATGACTATCCAAAGTTTCTAATGTTTCACACCCTTCCCTTTCAACTTAAGGGTAAAGGAAAGGTAAGAAGTACTGATGTGATGTCCACCAACAGTAGAAACATTTCAGAGAAGCATACTCCATTGTATCGGTAGAAACAATTCTGAGAATTAAAAATATAGCATGGCTAAGCCGGGCATAGTGGCTCACGCCTGTAATCCCAGCACTTTGGGAGGCCGAGGTGGGCGGATCACCTGACGTTGGGAGTTCGAGACCAACCTGACCGACATGGAGAAACCCTGTCTCCACTAAAAATACAAAAAATTAGCTGGGTGTGGTGGTGCATGCCTGTAATCCCAGCTACTCGGGAGGCTGACCAGGAGAATCACTAGAACCCAGGAGGCAGAGGTTGCGGTGAGCCGGGATCACGCCATTGCACTCCAGCTTGGGCAACTATATATATATATACACATACATATATATCATGGCTAAAATAAAGTGCTTGAGGGTGAGGCTAGGAGGGAGATGGAGGATTTGCCTCGGGAAGGTTTAAGATGAAAGGAATAGTTTAGGAATTAGATAACAGCCATTGTTATTCTGAAAGAAATCTGGATGCTCTGCCTGTGGGCAAAAAGGAGATAACCCACTAAAGAAGCCAAAGGGGAAGAAAGAGAAAAGAGAGATCAGGGATTTTCTCTCTTTTGGATAGTTTATTTTGTTTTGTTTATCATTACCCTTGCTAGTCTTGGAGTCTTTCCCTTTCTATGGGTTTTCATTGTCAGGATATTTAGGAAAGATGTTTAAGAACTTCCTCATTCCAACCCCAACTCTTTGAATTTTTCCTTCAAATGCAAATAAAAGCACTTACCATTTGGATATACTGTAATTAAAAAGAGGAAAGGGCAGTTTCTTGAACCTAAAACAACTTCTTTTTTTTCTGTGTGTGGGCTCAGAGTCATTTAAAGGCTAAAAGAAGATCTGTTGAGAGCTGGATGGGTAATGGAAGGTACTGATGATGGTGGTGGAGGGGATCCTGAATTCAGTCATAGAAAATAGCTGAAGCTGGATCAAATAATAAGACATCAAATCCCACTCGATTAGACATTAGGCAACTGTTTATGGTAAAATGTTAAGTACTTAATATTTTATTTCCAAGGCAGGTCATCTTGCATCTTACCCCAAAGCTATTTGTTCTTAGAACAAATGTGCATATGCTTATTAGGTTTAACAATCCACTGCTCACAGTTAGTAAAGGGGTCAGGCTAAGCCTGACTCCCTTGAATGAATAAGACTCATTTGCACTTGTGATGACAAAAACCTTAGTTCTCAAACCAAAAGGAGGAATGAGGGCCAGAGGGATAATAAGTGAAAAGGCTGACTCAGTCCTCTTTTTTTTCTTTTCTCTTTTTTTTTTTTTTTTTGAGACTGGGTCTTGTTCTGTAGCCCAGGCTGGAGTGCAGTGGTGAGGTCATAGCTCACTGCAGCCTCAATCTCTCTGGCTCTAGTGATCCTCCCGCTTCAGCCTCTTGGGTAGGTGGAACTGTTGCTGGACGCCAAGAGTGGGTTCTTGGATCTCACGCAAGAAAGAACTCAGGGGAGCCCATAGAGGAAAGTGAAAGCAAGTTTATTAAGAAAGTAGAGGAATAAAAGAGTAGCCCCTCTGTAGACAGAGCAGCCCTGAGGGTTGACCATTTTTATGGTTATTTCTTGATTATATGCTAAACAACAGGTGGATTATTCTTGCTTTATTTATTTATTTATTTATTTATTTTTTCTTGAGAGGAAGTCTCGCTCTGTTGCCCAGACTGGAGTGCAGTGGCATGATCTCTGCTCACTGCAAGCTCTGCCTCCCGGGTTCACGCCATTCTCCTGCCTCAGCCTCCAGAGTAGCTGGGACTACAGGCGCCCACCACCACACTCGGCTAATTTTTTTTTTGTATTTTTAGTAGAGACGGGGTTTCACCATGTTAGCCAGAATGGTCTTGATCTCCTGACTTCGTGATCCACCCGCCTCAGCATCCCAAAGTGCTGGGATTACAGGCGTGAGCCACCGCTCCCGGCCGCCTCCCCTGTTTGGATCATATAGGGTAACTTCCTGACATTTTCCATGGCATTTGTAGACTGTCATGGCGATGATGGGAGTGTAGCAGTGGGGACGACCAGAGGTCACTCTCGTGGCCATCTCGGTTTTAGTGGGTTCTAGGAGGCTTCTTTACTGCAAACTATTTTATCAGCAAAGTTTTTATGACCTGTATCCTGTGTCGACCTCCTACCTCATGTTGTAATAAAGAATGCTTTGACCTCCTAGGAATGCAGCCCAGCAGGTCTCAGCCTTATTTTACCTAGCCCCTACTCAAGATGGAGTTGCTCTGGTTCAAATGCCTCTGACAGAACTAAAGGCATGCACCACCATGCCCCATTAATTTTTGTGTATTTCATAGAGATGGGGTCTTACTATTTTGCCCAGGCTGGTCTTGAACTCCTGGCCTCAAGCAATCCTACTGCCTTGGCCTCCCAAAGTGCTGGGAATACAGGCAGGAGCCACCGCACCTGACCTAATCCTTTTTTTTTTTTTTTTTTCTCATGTGTTTTATTTTCCTGCAGTTCTGTGAGTGTGAAATATTTCCCCTCATGTTTAGGAGTAATCCAGACAGTTCCAGAAGCTGGCCTACCTTCTTTACCCACCTCTCTATAGATGTGGCTTTTGTTGATTATCTGAGTGGATAAACTTCCAGAAAGTGAAATAACTTAGTGGAAAATTAGTGGACTTTTAGCAATTCTGCTGACTTTCATTTGCTCAGAGGGAATTTGATTCATTTTCCTAAATCAGTACTAACTTTGAATTCTTTCTCTTTTTTCTCTTAGGAATAAAAAAGTTGGTTTTTGTGGGCCAAGAGCTGAATCACTGGTTTAGTAGGAGTTGCACGAGGCAGTTGACTAACTGGGCCTCATTTCCTCTGCTCTTCCAACCACATTGTGAGGGCTCTTCTGTGGGGGTACCAGGTGGAAATTCTGGGGTGAAGGATGTGTTCAAGCTGATGAAATGCTTCGTCATTGCTGTCATCATTCGCTAGGCTGAAGACACATCCGAAGGCATGACTGTAATTCCTCATCCTCTGGCTATTATTAATTATGATTCATTTCATGAAAGAGGGAATAAAAGCCTCTGCAGATCCAAAGCACATCTAAACTGGAAGGATTTCTGATTTGAGCATGTGAGGACTTTCCCTTATACGAGGGGAAATAAATATGTTCTCTCAGGGGATGGCGTGAACCCGGGAGGCAGAGCTTGCAGTGAGCCGGGATGGCGCCACTGCGCTCCAGCCTGGGCGACAGAACGAGACTCCGTATCAGAAAAAAAAAAAAAAAAAAAAGTTATGTTCTCTCAGGGGAAAGAGATCTGGCTTCAGCTAAGGAGAGATAGCCAGGTTGGCCTACTACATGGAGAAGGTCTTATTCATAATAATCAAAAAAATAAATCCACTCGCCATGCACGCTGTTTCATAGCTGTAATCCCAGCACTTTGTGAGGCTGAGGCAGGCGGATCACCTGAGGTCAGGAGTTCAAGACCAGCCTGACCAACATGGCGAAATGTCATCTCTACTAAAAATACAAAAATCAGACGGGTGTGGTCATGGGCACCTGTAATTCCAACTACTCGAGAGGCTGAGGCAAGAGAATTGCTTGAACCTGGGAGGCGGAGGTTGCAGTGAGCTGAGATTGTGCCATTGCACTCCAGCCTGGGAGACAGAGCAAGACGCCGGCTCAAAAATAAATAAATAAATAAATCCACTCTTTTCTGACTCTCTATTGACAATCTGGATTGATTTAATAGTCTACAGTGAAAATGAAGACAAATCTACCCTAACCTATCCTGCAATTATTTGGTGATTATTCACCCTTGCTAATGGATAACTTTCAGGACTGCATAGCTGGGAGGAGTCTTACAGGACAAGTCACCCATCTCCTCAGTTAAAAGAGAAGGGGCAGGCCGGGAGCGATGGCTCACACCTGTAATCCCAGAACACTGGGAAGCCAAGGGGGGTGGATCACTTGAGGTCAGGAGTTTGTGACCAGCCTGACCAACATGGTGAAACCCCATTTCTACTAAAAATACAAATAAATTATCCAAACATGGTGGTGTGCGTCTGTAATCCGAGCTACTCAGGAGGGTGAGGCAGGAGAATCGCTTAAGCCCAGGAGGTGGAGGTTGCACTCAGCCGAGATGGCGCCACCGCACTCCAGCCTGGGTGACAGAGTGAAACTCCTCCATCTCAAAAAAAAAAAAAAAAAAAAAGAGAAGAGACAAAAACAAGGCTGTAAGGTTTACAGGGGACTGCTCAAGGACACTGCTACTTGCCTACTTGACCTCAAAATTGAGGCTAGAGCTCAGACCTTTTAGCTCTTAACCTTGTGTTCTTTTTACTGCAAGAGGCCATGAGCTGGGTGTGGGCTCTGGAGAGTTCAAGCAACACCCTGGAGCTCAGTAAAGAGGTGTGCAACCTGGCACATGGTTAAGATGTTACATGAGGGCAGCCTTTTGGGAATCAGATGACCTGGGTTCAAATGCGGATTTTGCCATTTCTCTTTTTTTTTTTTTGAGACGAAGTTTTGTTCTTGTCACCTATGTCAAAGTGCAATGGCATGATCTCAGATCACTGCAACCCCCGCCTCCTGGGTTCAAGTGATTCTCCGGCCTCAGCCTCCCTAGTAGCTGGGATTACAGGCATGCACCACCACACCTGGCTAATTTTTGTATTTTTAGTAGAGACAGGGTTTTGACATGTTGGCTAGGCTGGTCTTGAACCCCTGACCGCAGATGATATGCCCGCCTTGGCCTCCCAAATTGCTAGGATTACAGGCCTGAGCCACCCTGCCCGGCCAAGTTCTTAATAAGGTTCTTCTTTCCCTTAGCCCACCTCAGGCCACCTTCAAATGGCTGGGAACCCAAACCTGGGACAAAGCTGGTTACTGAAACTGCTTTTGCAAAATTATGACTGAGACGGTGAAAGAGCTCTAACTTAATGGATTCCATCTTGCTTCTAACCTCCAAGCTGTCCTTGTTCCTTCCTCGGTGTAGGCTGAACTAACTTTGGGAGAAACATATAGTTTATAGTTTAAACAAAGATGCTAACAGCCCTTTCCCAAAGCT
Organism: Homo sapiens; assembly: GCF_000001405.40. NCBI lineage: Eukaryota > Metazoa > Chordata > Mammalia > Primates > Hominidae > Homo > Homo sapiens. Next base: position 15,204,351 of record NC_000006.12, on the reverse strand, counting down.
GACCTCCTTCTTGCCTGGGGACTAGATTGCCTTTGTAGGACCAACATGAGCCATAAGATTAGAAATTATGGTTTAGGAGTCATGTAGCTGAAGGCTACAAGATCCTGACCCTCCCTAAACGGCTCTTAAGATCAGTGCTTGAGGCCGGGCACGGTGGTTCACGCCTGTAATCTCAGCACTTTGGGAGGCTGAAGCGGGCGGATCACGAGGTCAGATCAAGAACATCCTGGCTAACATGGTGAAACCCCGAATCTACTAAGAATTCAAAAAAAATTAGCCGGGCGTAGTGGCGGGCGCCTGTAGTCCCAGCTACTCGGGAGGCTGAGGCAGGAGAATGGCGTGAACCCGGGAGGCGGAGGTTGCAGTGAGCCGAGATCGCGCCGCTGCACTGCAGGTTGGGCAACAGAGCGAGACTCCGCCTCAAGAAAAAAAAAAAAATCAGTGCTTGAGATATTTTGCAGACCCTGCACTTGATGGGTCAGCTGGCCCCACCCAGATCAATAAACTGGCTCATCTGATCTTGTGGCCCCCACCCAGGAACTGACTGAGCACAAGAAGACACCCGGGACTCCCTTTGATTTCATCTCTGACCAATCAGCACTCTTGGCTCACTGGCTTCCCCCTACCCACCAAGTTATCCTTAAACTCTGCTCCCCAATTCAGGGAGACTGATTTGAGTAATAATAAAACTCCAGCCAGGCATGGTGGCTCACGCCTGTAATCCCAGCACTTCGGGAGGCTGAGGCGGGCAAATCACGAGGTCAGGAGATCCAGACCATCCTGGCTAACAGGGTGAAACCCCGTCTCTACTAATAATACAAAAAAATTAACCGGACGTGGTGGTGGGCGCCTATTAATCTCAGCTACTCGAGAGGCTGAGGCAGCAGAATCGCTTGAACCCGGGAGGCGGAGGTTGCAGTGAGCCGAGATGGAGCCACTGCACTCCAGCCTGAGTGATAGAGCGAGACTCTGTCTCAAAAATAAAATAATAAAATAAAATAAAATAAAATAAAACTCCAGTCTCCTGCACAGCTGGCTCGGTGTGAATTACTCTTTTTCTTTTCTTTTTCTTTCTTTTTTTTTTTTTTTGAGACAGAGTTTCACTGTTGTTGCCCAGGCTGGAGTGCAGTGGCGTGATCTCAGCTCACTGCAACCTCCGCTTCCGAGGTTCAAGTGATTCTCCTGCCTCAGCCTCCCGAGTAGCTGGGATTACAGGCATGTGCCACCACGCCTGACTAATTTTGTATTTTTTTTAGTAGAGACGGAGTTTCTCCATGTTGGTCAGGCTGGTCTCAAACTCCTGACTTCAGGTGATCCGCCCGCCTCGGCCTCCCAGTGTGCTGGGATTACAGGCGTGAGCCACCGTGACCGGCGTGAATTACTCTTTTTCTACTGCAGTTCCCCTGTCTTGTTGGATCAGCTCTGTCTAGACGGTAGGCAAGGTGAACCCCATACCTAGTTACATTACTGCTCTCCTCTCCCTGACCCCTTCTCATTTCTCTTTTCTTCTGGTCCTTTCTCTTCCTTCTCTCTCCACCTCCTTCTTCTCTCCCTTTTCTGCCTTTTCTTTCTCCTTTCTTTTGTTCTCCCATCTTCTTCTTCTTCAGTTGCTACCATTAATCCAGTACTGGGGATTCTAGGAAATGCTCCAATGTCTTTTTTTTCCTAATGTTTGTTAAAAATAAATTTTGCGGCTGGGTGTGGTGGCTCACACCTGTAATCCCAGCACTTTGGGAGGCCAAGGCGTGTGGATCACCTGAGGTCAGGAGTTCAAGACCAGCCTGACCAACATGGAGAAACCCTGTCTCTACTAAAGAAAAAATACAAAATTACCCGGCCGTGGTAGCGCATGCCTGTAATCCCAGCTACTTGGGAGGCTGAGGCAGAAGAATCGCTTGAACCCGGGAGGCGGAGGTTGCGGTGAGCCAAGATTGTGCCATTGCACTCCAGCCTGGGCAACAAGAGCGAAACTCTGTCTCAAAATAAATAAATAAATAAATAAATTTTGTTGGCCAAGCATGGTGGCTCATTCCTGTAATCCCAGAGCTTTAGAAAGTGGAGGCAAGAGGACTGACGGGGGCCATGAGTTTGAGTCCATCCTGGGCAACATATTAAGATCCCATTCCTACAAAATTTTTTTTTTTTAATTAGCCAGCAGTGGTGGTGGTGCTGCATGTCTATAGTACCATTTACTCAAGAGGCTGAGTTGGGAGGATCACTTGAGCCCAGGAGGTCAAGGCTGCAGTGAGCTGTGTTTATGCCACTGCACTGCAGCCTGGGCAACAGAGCCAGTCCCTGTATCAAAAAAGAAAAACAAAGCCACCAAGTCTGTGGTACCTTGTTATGGCAGCCCTAGCCAACTAATAGAGTTGCCTTGTCAATTTAACCTTGACCAGTGGCAAAAAGGGCCTAATGTTGAGTTATTTTTCTTGTAATGGGGATAGCCTGGGAGGTCAAGGCTGCAGTGAGATGAGATCTTGCTACTGCACTCCAGCCTAGGCAACAGAGCAAGAACCTATCTCCAAAGAAAACAAAACAAAACAAAACAAAACCTCCCTATGGGGCTGATGGCCTCTAGTTGTCCCCTCTAGGGTCCCCCTCAGCTTGAGGTTATGCTTTACAGGTCACCGCCTATGAATGGCTGAGCAAGGAGGTGGGTCTACAAGGGCTGGGCAGAATGTTTGTGCCCAGAAAAAATTCCTCTAGTAGGCATCGCTTGCTCCAGGGCTCCCTTGGGTTGGTATAGATTCTGTCACGTCTTCATCTTGGTCTGAAAGCTCCCCCTGTTCAATCCTTTATAACGCAACTGTGATAGAGATTTTATTATGCCTATTTAGTGTTGAAGACACTAAGGCTCAGAAAAGTTAAGAAATTTGCCTGAGGTCACCCAGATACTAAGACATGGAGCTAGGATTTGAACCAAGACAGCCTGGCTCCAGTGTTTGTGCCCTCTCGGCTGCTGGGCTCAGTGTGCAATACAGGGTAAGGCACAATGGCCCTGTTCCCCCACAAGCCAGTGGCATCTTCATCAATACTCTAATTTTTTTTTTTTTTTTTTGAGAAGGAGTCTCACTCTGTCGCCCAGGCTGGAGTGCAGTGGCATGATCTCGGCTCATTGCAACCTCCGCACCCTGGGTTCAAGCAATTCTCCTGCCTCAGCCTCCCGAGTAGCTGGGATTACACGTGCCTGACAAAGTGCTCGGCTAATTTTTGTATGTTTAGTAGAGACAGGGTTTCACCATCTTGGCCAGGCTAGTCTTAAACTCCTGACCTCGTGATCCACCCGCCTTGGCCTCCCAAAGCGCTGGGATTACAGGTGTGAGCCACCGTGCCCGGCCCATCAATACTCTAATTCTATCAGAGTCAGAAGATCATTCAGTGTGGTGTGCAGGATAGAGAAACTAGAATTCTGCCGTGCTTTTTTTTTTGAGGCAGAGTTTCGCTCTTTTTGCCCAGGCTGGAGTGCAATGGCTAGATCTCGGCTGACTGCAACCTCTGCCTCTCGAGTTCAAGCGTGATTCTCCTGCTCAGCCTCCTGAGTAGCTGGTATTACAGGCGTGTGACACCACACCCGTCTAATTTTGTATATTTAGTAGAGACGGGGTTTCACCATGTTGGCCAGGCTGGTCTTGAACTCCTGACCTCAGGTGATCCACCTGCCTCAGCCTCCCAAAGTGCTGGGATTACAGGTGAGTGCCACTGCGCCTGGCCTAGAATTCCTTCTTTCATCCTACAAACACCTCTCTAATCTCCTACTCTGATTGACCCCTTTCCCTGGTTTTAGACAAAGAGCTAACTTGAATAAAAGTAAGAATCAGAATAATTATTATAAAGTAGTAATAATATAAACTTAGCTCGCACATCATATGAGAGCGCTCATGATACCTACCTTTTCATCTGCACGCATGCACACATTTTCCTGCTTAGGATTTGTTCTTACATCTGCCTTGCAAAGAACTGTCCCCCCTTGTGAGTGTTCTTGTGGGTCTGTCCTCCTGCTGACCCTGAATTTCAAGGAGAAGGCAGATGCTCAGCTGCTGCTCAGCCCTCTGGCTATACTTTGAGCCTCAGAGAGACAAGCAGGTACATGATTTTCTGCCGCATTACAAATAGGGAAACATTAAGGAGTAGCTTGAGCTGTGCGTGTTATGCAGCATGGCTATATGGGCTTGATTGTCTTCCCGTGGTTTGGCTCAAAGGAAATTACAAATGTTATTAAACATTTACTGTATTTGTCTCATGGGACTTTCATTTAGACCCTTGATATATAAATGCTAGTTCTGGCCTGCAAGAATGGTAGTACCATTTATTAATGATTTACTATGTGCCAGGCACCATGATAGGTACTTTGCAGTCATCTATGCTTTCAACAGCTTTCAAGGTAGGCAGGATTGTCTTATTTCACTTAGGAGCAGATGGGAACAGTGGTTAAGCAACTGGCTTAAGTTCACACAACTAGTTAGTGGCAGAATTAGGATTCAAACTTAACTCTTTCTGGCTCCAAAGCCTGTTCAATGTGTCTTGCCACATAGCTTTGGGAAGAAATGGGGTTATGACACTCTGAACTTTAATGTTTTCAGATAGATATTAAGCTATTTATTAACTGCTCCATCCTAACAATTGAGGAGATAGACATCCTCCATCCCAAAACATTCTTCCCTTTTTACTGCCCTTTGTACTCCAACTGCCTCAGATAAAATTAGTCTCCACTTGGCCAGGAGTGATGGCTCACGCCTGTAATCCCAGCACTTTGGGAGGCCGAGGCGGGTGGATCACGAAGTCAGAAGATCAAGACCATCCTGGCTAACACGGTGAAACCCCATCTCTACGAAAAATACAAAAAATTAGCCGGGCACCGTGGCGGGTGCCTGTAGTCCCAGCTACTCAGGAGGCTGAGGCAGGAGAACGGCGTGAACCCGGGAGGCGGAGCTTGCAGTGAGCCGAGATCGCGCCACTGCACTCCAGCCTAGGTGCAAGAATCTGTCTCAAGAAAAAAAAAAAAAAAAAAAAAATTAGTCTCCACTTCTGCACATCCTATTCTCTCCTTGGCATACTTCACTTCACTTGGGCTCCCATGCCCACCATGTCACAGAAATGAGCACAGATCAATGACAATGCTCTTGTCATTGTCACCAATGACCTCCATGTTGTGAAATCTGTTGTACTCCCCCACTACCTTCATCTCAGGCTTTTAGGAATATTTGATGCCGTTCATCTATCCCTCCTCTTCTGTTTTTTCTTTTTTCTTTTTTGTTTGAGACGGAATTTCCCTTTTGTTCCCCGGGCTGGATTGCAATGGCGTGATCTTGGCTCACTGCAACCCCCACCTCCCGGGTTCAAGTATTTCTCCTACCTCAGCCTCCTAAGTAGCTGGGATTACAGGTGTGCACCACCATGCCTAGTATATTATTGTATTTTTAGTAGAGACAGGATTTCACCATGTTGGTTGGCCAGGCTGGTCTGGAACTCTTGACCTCGAGTGATATGCCTACCTCAGCCTCCCAAAAGTGCTAGGAATCCCTCCTTTTCTTTTTTTGAATTTTTATTTATTTATTTTTCTCAGAAATGGGGGTCTGGCTATGTTCCCAGGCTGGTCTTGAACTCCTGGGCGCAAGTGATCCTCCTGCGTCGGCCTCCCAAAGTGCTGGGATCACCACACTTGGCCATCTCCCTCCTTTTTAAAAGAATCTCCTCTGGTTTGGGAGCATCACACACTCTCTTTTTTCCCTTTTCCTTCTCTGGCCACTCCTCAGTCTCCCTCATGCTGGTGGCACATATTATCAGCTGTTTATGCAATAGCCATTCCCTCTGTCTTCCTTAGAAATAAAACCCCCTTGTGATTCAGGGCAGCAAAGTCCTACGATACTTTTTTTTCTGGACTCACTTGGAGTCGGGGTGCATATGTGTCATAGTTCTGGCCCATCAAGAAGTCGGTTGAATGCAGGCTTCTAAGAAAGCTTTTCTTTTCTGGATAAAATGGGGCTGATGGTCACGCGGATTGCTTCAGTCCAGAAATTTAAAAACAGCCTGGGCAATATGGCAAAAGCCCTTCTCTACAAAAAAAAATTAGCCTGGCATGATGGTGCATGCCTGCAGTCTCAGTCACCCAGGAGGCTGAGGTGGGAGGATTGCTTGAGACAGGAAGGTTGAGGCTGCAGTCAGTTGAGATTGTGCCACCGCACAAGAGCCCGAGAAACAGAGTCAGGACCTATCTCAAAAACAAAAACAAAAAACAAAAAACAAAGTGGTTGGGGGCAGGGATGACTGGCCCCATGCCCCTTCTCCTTCTTCTGAATTGTGTTCACGGTACTCAGGGTACAACTGTCAGAGGCATTTGAACCAGAGCAACTCCATCTTGAATAGGAGCTGGGTAAAATGAGGCTGAGACCTACTGGGCTGCATTCCCAGAAAGTTAAGGCATTCTAAGTCACAGGATGAGACAGGAGGTTGGCACAAGACACAGGTCATGAAGACCTTGCTGATAAAACTGTTGCAGTAAAGAAGCCGGCTCTAACCCTCCAAAAACCAAGATGGCCACTAGAGTGACCTCTGGTCCTCCTCACTGCTACACTCCCACCAGCGCCATGACAGTTTATAGATGCCAGGGCAAAGTCAGGAAGTTACCCTACGTGGTCTAAAAAGGGGAGACATGAATAATCCACCCTTTGTTTACCATATCATCAATAAATAACCATAAAAATGAGTAACCAGCAGCCCTTGAGGCTGCTCTGACTATGGAGTAGACATTCTTTTATTCCTCTACTTTCTTTTTTTTTTTTTTTTTGAGACAGAGTTTTCCCTCTTGTTGCCCAGGCTGGAGGGCAGTGGCGTGATCTCGGCTCACAGCAACCTCCGCCTCCCAGGTTCAAGTGATTCTCCTACCTCAGCCTCCCAAGTAGCTGGGATTACAGGCATGCGCCACCATGCCCGGCTAATTTTTGTATTTTTAGTAGAGACGGGGTTTCTCCATGTTGGTCAGGCTGGTCTCGAACTTGCAACCTCAGGTGATCGGCCTGCCTCAGTCTCCCAAAGTGCTGGGATTACAGGCATGAGCCTCTGTGCCCGGCCTCCTCCACTTTCTTAACAAACTTACTTTCACTTTACACTATGAACTTCCCTTGAATTCTTTCTTGTGCGAGATCCAAAAACTCTCTCTTGGGGTCTGGATCGAGACCCCTTTCTTGTAACACAGCTAGTGTACCATGTTGTGACCATGAAGACACAAGTATAAGGATCAAGGCCTTCAGGGAAAGATGACAGAAGAGAAAGTTAAAAGACCCTGGGTCCCCCAAAGTATAATTGATCACCTGTACCACCAGCCTTGGGCTGCCCAGCTCCAGACTTCTTGTTATGTGAAAAGAACACACCCCTGCCGGGTGCGGTGGCTCATGCCTGTAATCCCAACACTTTGGGAAGCTGAGGAGGGCCGATCACGAGGTCAGGAGTTTGAGACCACCCTGGTCAACATGGTGAAACCCCATCTCTACTAAAAATACAAAAACTTAGCCATGCGTGGTGGTGCATACCTGTAGTCCTAGCTACTCAGGAGGCTGAGGCAGAAGAATTGCTTGAACCCGGGAGGTGGAGGTTGCAGTGAGTCAAGATTGTGCCACTGCACTCCAGCCTGGGTGACAGAATAAGACTCCATCTTAGAAAAGAAAAGGAAAAAAAAAAAAAAGAACACACCCCTGTCTTTTTAAAATACTTTTCTTTTTTTTTTTTGAGACAGGGTCGCACTCTGTCACTCAGGCTGGAGTGCAGTGGCTCCATCATGGCTCACTGCAATCTTGACCTCTCTGGCCCAAGCGATCCTCAACCAAATTGCTTTTATTCACAAATTAATGGAATAATTAAAAGAATTATTGTGATTTATATACGTCATCATACTGCAGTTTTAAAAGTACTTTGTTTTTTCTCCCCAAATTCAATTAAGATTACTAAAATTTGTGAGTGGACATTTTTCCTATTTTTCAGTTACTAAGTTTGTCTCTTATTTAAGAAAATGCAGGTCAGGCACGGTGGCTCACGTCTGTAATCCCAGTACTTTGGGAGGCCGAGGCGGGCAGAGCATCTGAGGTCAGGAGTTTAAGACCAGCCTGACCAACATGGTGAAACCCTGACTCTACTGAAAATACAAAAAATTAGCCAGGTGTGGTGGTGGGAGCTTGTAATTTCAGATACTTGGGTGGCTGAGGCAGGAGAATCGCTGGAACCCGGGAGGTGGGGGTTGCAGTGAACCGAGATTGCACCATGGCACTCCAGCCTGGGTTACAGAGCAAGAGTCCATCTCAAAAAAATAAAAGAAAGAAAATGCAATGTCCTCCTTAAGCCTAGAGACTGCCCCATTAGGGTTCTCTTTCATGCATGTACGTGTCTGTAAAGAGAATCATGCTTATGTTTCTGGGCATTTCTAATTGATTTACAACAAACTCAGTCTTAGAGAACATGCACCCAGATGGGGAACATCACAAATTAGTAAGGGGGTTCCACTATCTGTGATCATTATTACAAAGAAACAATTTCCTCTAATATTTCTTGGAAAGTCATTGTTTACAGCGGGGAGATTTTATTACAAAATTCCCCACTTTTTTTGTCTCCACTCTATCAATAACAGGAGCTAAAACATAAAAGATTAACTTACCCTAACTACTGACAAAAAAGCACCTAAAATCTCTTCTTCCCTAAAACCTATCATACTATCAATTTCTAGAATATGTTTACCATTCTGTGACTTCAAAAGCTACAGCAGTAAGAATATATAAAATAAGTACACAGTCTATGTGCCAAAAATTATTAAAATCCTCTTTTTAATTAAAATTAGGCCAGGCGCGGTGGCTCACGCCTGTAATCCCAGCACCTCGGGAGGCTGAGGTGGGTGGATCACCTGAGGTCAAGCGTTCGAGGCCAAACTGGCTAACATGGTGAAACCTCATCTCTACTAAAATACAAAAATTAGCCAGGCATGGTGGCTGGTGCCTGCAATCCCAGCTACTCGGGAGGCTGAGGCAGGCGAATCGCTTGAACCTGGGAGGCAGAGGTTGCAGTGAGCTGAGATCATGCTACTGCACTCCAGCCTGGGTGATAGAGCAAGACTCCGTCTCAAAGAAAAACAACAAAACACAATTAATTAATTAATTTTTTGAGACAGAGTTTTGCTCTTGTTGCCCAGGCTGGAGTGCAATGGCACAATCTCAGCTCACTGCACCCTCAGCCTCCCAGGTTCAAGCGATTCTCCTGCCTCAGCCTACTGAGTAGCTGGGATTACAGACACCTGCCACCATGCCTGACTAATTTTTGTATTTTTAGTAGAGTTGGGATTTCACCATGTTGGTCAGGCTGGTCTTGAACTCCTGACCTCAGGTGATCCACCTGCCTCCCCAAGTGCTAGGATTACAGTCATGAGCCACCGCACTTGGCCTAATTGTAATTAGGTGAGCTGGGCTTGATGGCGGATGCCTGTACTCCCCTCTACTTTGGAAGCTGAGGCAGGAGAATTGCTCGAACGTGGGAGGCAGAGATTGCAGTGGGCCAAGATCACGCCACTGCACTCCAGCCTGGGTGATAGAGCAATACTCCAGCTGAAAAAGAAAAAGAAAAAAGAAAAATTAGGCAAGCATGGTGGCGGGTACCTGTAATCCTAACCACTCACTCAGGAGGGTGAGGCTGGAGAAATGCTTGTACTCTAAAAGTGGAAGTTGTAGTGAGCTGAGATTATGCAATTGCACTCCAGCCTGGGTGACAAGAGTGAAACTCTGTCTCAAAAATTAAAAAAAGAAAGAAAGAAAGAAAAAAAATGTCAAAGGAATGCACAAAGAATAAGAATAAAAAACTAGTAATAATTATATTTATACAAATGAGTGAGAAAAATAACTTTTTTTTTTCTTTTTTGAGATGGAGTCTCACTTTGTCACCCAGGCTGGAGTGCAGGGGCGTGATCTCTGCTCACAGCAACCTCTGCCTCCTGGGTTCATGCGATTCTCCTGCCTCAGCCTCCCGAGTAGCTGGGATTCTAGGTGTGTACCACCATGCCTGGCTAATTTTTGTATTTTTAGTAGAGACGGGGTTTCTCCAGGTTGACCACACTGGTCTTGAACTCCTGAGCTCAGATGATCCACTGGGCTCGGCCTCCCAAATTGCTAGGATTACAGGTGTGAGCCACTGTGCTTGACCTCTTTTCTGAACTTTTCTATGAACCACTTCAACTCAGACTTCCTTTTATTTGTGTACATCAGCAGCTTGAGGGAGTCTCATAGGAAACACTTGGGGAAATAGTGGGGTACACTAGAACGTGCTGCTGCAGACATTGATCAAATGGATAAGGTTCCTGAGTACTATTGTGGTTCAGAGAGGGGCTGGAGTCCTAGCTTGTCCATTATCCAGCTGGCAAGTTAGTCACCTCTGAGAGCCTTAGTTTCTTCGTCTGAAAGATGGTGATCACAGCAATACCTTCATTGCAGAGTGGTTTTATAGTAAGGAATAATGATAAAATAAGTTCTATTGTTCAGCACATAGTAAATACTTATTAAGACTGTTATTTTAATTATTCAATGAGAGTAATTGTAGTAGAAATTTAAGAAGCTAATTTCCTTTTTTTTTTTTTTTTTTTTTGTGAGACAGAGTCTTGCTCTGTCGCCCGGGCTGGACTGCAGTGGCGCAATCTCGGCTCACTGTAACCTCTGCCTCCCACGTTCAAACGATTCTCTTGCCTCAGCCTCCCAAGTAACTGGGATTACAGGCATGTGCCACCATGCCCGGCTAATATTTGTATTTTTAGTACAGATGGGGTTTCGCCACGTTGGCCCAGGCTGGTCTGGAACTCCTGACCTCAGGTGATCTGCCTGCCTCAGCCTCCCAATGTTCTGGGATTACAGGCGTGAGCCACTGTGCCCAGCCTAAGAGGCTAATTTCCATCCAGAAATGTATTATTTGTTTTTTCCTTTAATTTTTTTCCCGATTAAGCAATGCATATTCACTGAGAGAAAATTTGGGAAGTACATTATTTAAGTGTAAAGAAGCATCAAAGAAAATTTTCTAAAATCCCACTATATAGAGGCAACTGCAGTTAGCCTTTTAGCATACTTTGTACCAGTTATTTTTCTATAAAAACTTTTTTTTTGGTAATTTGCATGATTAAGATTATACTGGTTATAGCCTTTTGAATTTTGCTTTTTTTGTTGTTGCTTAACATTATATCATAAACATTTTCCTATATCCTCAAAAAAAATCTTTGTTAGCATATTTTTAAATGAAATTGCTTGTTAGTCTACTGCATTGCTATAGGGTGACCAACCATTCCCACTTGCCTCAGTTGGAGAGGGTTCTTGGGATAGAGAACTTTTATTGGAAAGTCCTGTACAAACTAGGATGAATTAGTCACTCTACTTTTATAAAACCTTATAATTGGATAATTAGGTTGTTTCTATTTTTTAACCTTATAAACAGCACTAATATGAATTTTTTTTAGCAATAATGGCCTTCAAAATTGTTTTATAATAACTATTCTCCTACAAGTTCTTGAGTGAAGAGACCATATCTTTTGGCCTAGATTTTTCTTTTTGGCCTAGATTTAACCCACAGGTCCTGAAGCTCTTATGTAGATGATCAATTAAATATGGTACTAGTCAACTGGCTAACTATTTAGTGCTGTTGAAGGTTAAATTATGTTCACCCCAAAACCATGTTGATGTCTTAACTCCTGGTGCCTGCCAATTGGACCTTACTTTAAAATAAAGTAATTGCAAATGTAGTTAAGGTATGTTCAGGCCAGGTGTCGTAGCTCATGCCTGAAATTCTAGCACTTTGGGAGGCCGAGGCAGGTGGATTGCCTGAGCTCAGGAGTTGGAGACCAGACTGGGCAACATGGTGAAACCCCATCTCTACTAAAAATACAAAAATTAGCCAGGCATGGTGGCACGCACAGGTAATCCCAGCTACTTGGGAGGCTGAGGCAGGAGAATCACTTGAAACTAGGAGGCAGAGGCTGCAGTGAACTGAGATTGTGCCACTGCACTCCAGCCTGGGCGACAGAGAGAGACTCCCTTCCAAAAAACAAACAAACAAATAAATAAACAAACTAAATAAAAATAAAAAAATGCTCCTGTAGTCCCAGATACTCAGGGGGCTAAGGCATGAGAATAGCTTGAACCTGGAGGCAGAGGCTGCAGTGAGCCGAGACTGTGCCACTGCCCTTCAGCCTGGACGACAGAGCGAGACTCGGTCTCAAAACACACAAACAAACAAATAAACAAACAAAAAAAAAGCGTGGTGGTGCGTACTTGTACTCTCAGCTACTTGCAAGGCTGAGGCACAAGAATCGCTTGAACCTGGGAGGCAGAGGCTGCAGTGAGCCAAGATCACGCCACTGCATTCTAGCTTGGGCAACAGATTGAGATTCTGTCTTATAAAATAAAATAAAATAAAATAAAATAAAATAAAATAAAATAAAATAAAGCTATATTCAGATGATTTAGGGTGGACCTCCTAAATCTAATATGTGTAGTGTCCTTGTAGGAAGAGGAGAAGAGACACAGAGACGACACAGAAATAAGAGGGCCACGTGAAGCCACAGACACAGAGAGCAACGAAGCCGTGTGATGGCAGAAGCGGAGGTTGGAGTAAGCAGCTGTAATACAGGGAAAATACAGGGAAAATCTGGAATTGCCAGCAACTTCCAGAAGCTAGGAGAGAGAGTGTGGCCCTGCTGGCACCTCAGTTTGGAACTTTTGGATCCCACAACTGTGGAGAATAAGTTTCTATTGTTTGAAGCCACCCAGTGTGTGGTAGTTTGTTGTGGCAGCCCTAGGAAAGGTGTCTTTGGTGAAAATGGAAGAGTCATGCCATAAACCCAGCGTCATGCATGTGGCTGTGTGTACACAGAATGCTTCCCAATTAGTTTGTATTTTCCATTCCCTCTTTTGCTCCTAGCCTTTGTTTTAAGACGTACTTCATTTCTGCCCTCATTCTGGAAGTGGCCTTCCTTGAAATGAGGACAAAAACTAATCAAATTCTCACCGGGCACGGTGGCTCATGCCTGTAATCCCAGCACTTTGGGAGGCCGAGGCGGGTGGATCACAAGGTCAGGAGTTCAAGACCATCCCGACAAACATGGTGAAACCCCATCTCTACTAAAAATACAAGAAAATTAGCCGGGCGTTGCTGGTGCATGCCTGTAGTCCCAGCTACTCGGGAGGCTGAGGCAGGAGAATGGCGTAAAACCCAGGAGGCAGAAGTTGCAGTGAGCTGAGATCATGCCACTGCACTCCAGCCTGGGAGACAGAGTGAGACTCTGTCTCAAAAAAAAAAAAAAAAAAAACACTAATCAAATTCTCTTATCAGACTTTTTAATATTCTAAAATGATGTATGACTTTTTTTTCTTCTGGATGCTTCTTCACAGTGAGTAGGAAGACTCCTTAAATATTGCTAGTCATGTGCTTTGGTATTTCATGAGTGGCCATAAATTGATGGGTCCTGGGGTTATTGGTCATATTCCAGAAGCTTTTCTCAAAGTAGTTGTGACAGACATATCTATCTAGATAAATTCTTTTATTTTATTTTGTGATATTTTATTTTATTTTTTTGTAGAGGTGGGGTCTCCCTATGTTGTCCAGGCTGGGCTCTGACTCTTGGGCTCAAACGATCCTCTCATCTCGGCCTTCTAAGGTGCTGGGTTTATGCGTGAACCGCCATGCCCCCGACTTATCCAGGTCAATTCTATCAGCATCCTCTTGCTTTCTCTGAGAGCATTTGAATTTCCTCTTTTTTTTTTTTTTTAATTTATTTTTTTATTGATAATTCTTGGGTGTTTCTCACAGAGGGGGATTTGGCAGGGTCATGGGACAATAGTGGAGGGAAGGTCAGCAGATAAACAAGTGAACAAAGGTCTCTGGTTTTCCTAGGCAGAGGACCCTGCGGCCTTCCGCAGTGTTTGTGTCCCTGATTACTTGAGATTAGGGATTGGTGATGACTCTTAACGAGCATGCTGCCTTCAAGCATCTGTTTAACAAAGCACATCTTGCACCGCCCTCAATCCATTTAACCCTGAGTGGACACAGCACATGTTTCAGAGAGCACAGGGTTGGGGGTAAGGTCACAGATCAACAGGATCCCAAGGCAGAGAAATTTTTCTTAGTGCAGAACAAAATGAAAAGTCTCCCATGTCTACTTCTTTCTACACAGACAGGGCAACCATCCGATTTCTCAGTCTTTTCCCCACCTTTCCCGCCTTTCTATTCCACAAAGCCGCCATTGTCATCCTGGCCCGTTCTCAATGAGCTGTTGGGCACACCTCCCAGACGGGGTGGTGGCCGGGCAGAGGGGCTCCTCACTTCCCAGTAGGGGCGGCCAGGCAGAGGCGCCCCTCACCTCCCGGACGGGGCGGCTGGCCGGGCGGGGGGGCTGACCCCCCCCACCTCCCTCCCGGACGGGGCGGCTGGCCGGGCAGAGGGGCTCCTCACTTCCCAGTAGGGGCGGCCGGGCAGAGGCGCCCCTCACCTCCCGGACGGGGAGGCTGGCCGGGCGGGGGGGCTGACCCCCCCCACCTCCCTCCCGGACGGGGCGGCTGGCCGGGCGGGGGGCTGACACCCCCACCTCCCTCCCGGACGGGGCGGCTGGCCGGGCAGAGGGGCTCCTCACTTCCCAGTAGGGGCGGCCGGGCAGAGGCGCCCCTCACCTCCCGGACGGGGCGGCTGGCCGGGCGGGGGGGCTGACCCCCCCCCCACCTCCCTCCCGGACGGGGCGGCTGGCCGGGCGGGGGGCCGACCCCCCCACCTCCCTCCCGGACGGGGCGGCTGGCCGGGCGGGGGGCCGACCCCCCCACCTCCCTCCCGGACGGGGCGGCTGGCCGGGCGGGGGGCCGACCTCCCCACCTCCCTCCCGGACGGGGCGGCTGGCCGGGCAGAGGGGCTCCTCACTTCCCAGTAGGGGCGGCCGGGCAGAGGCGCCCCTCACCTCCCAGACGGGGAGGCTGGCCGGGCGGAGGGCTGACCCCCCAACCTCCCTCCCGGACGGGGCGGCTGGCCGGGCGGGGGGCTGACCCCCCCACCTCCCTCCCGGACGGGGCGGCTGGCCGGGTGGGGGGGCTGACCCCCCCATCTCCCTCCCGGACGGGGTGGCTGGCCGGGCTGAGGGGCTCCTCACTTCCCAGTAGGGGCGGCCGGGCAGAGGCGCCCCTCACCTCCCGGACGGGGCGGCTGGCCAGGCGGGGGGCTGACCCCCCCACCTCCCTCCCGGATGGCACGGCTGGCCGGGCGGCGGGGCTGAACCCCCACCTCCCTCCCTGATGGGGCGGCTGGCCGGGCGGGAGGCTGACCCCCCCCCACCTCCCTCCCGGACGGGGTGGCTGCCGGGCGGAGACGCTCCTCACTTCCCAGATGGGGTGGCTGCCGGGTGGAGAGGCTCCTCACTTCTCAGACGGGGCAGCTGCCGGGCGGAGGGGCTCCTCACTTCTCAGACGGGGCGGTTGCCAGGCAGAGGGTCTCCTCACTTCTCAGACGGGGCGGCCGGGCAGAGACGCTCCTCACCTCCCAGACGGGGTCTCGGCCGGGCAGAGGCGCTCCTCACATCCCAGATGGGGCGGCGGGGCAGAGGCGCTCCCCACATCTCAGACGATGGGCGGCCGGGCAGAGACGCTCCTCACTTCCTAGATGTGATGGCGGCTGGGAAGAGGCGCTCCTCACTTCCTAGATGGGATGGCGGCCGGGCGGAGACGCTCCTCACTTTCCAGACTGGGCAGCCAGGCAGAGGGGCTCCTCACATCCCAGACGATGGGCGGCCAGGCAGAAACACTCCTCACTTCCCAGACGGGGTGGCAGCCGGGCAGAGGCTGCAATCTCGGCACTTTGGGAGGCCAAGGCCGGCGGCTGCTCCTTGCCCTCGGGCCCCGCGGGGCCCGTCCGCTCCTCCAGCCGCTGCCTCCCGGGCGGCGCTCGCCGGCGCGGCGGCAAAGACTGATTGTGGGTCTTAAGACCCTCCCATAAGAGGGTCCCATCCTATACCCTGAGGTAAGGAATGCTGATGTCATGAAGCCTCCGTGAAAATCCACGAGGACAGGGTTCAGGAGCTTCTGGATACTTGAAAAAGTGGAGCCTCCTGAAGGGTGGCACAACCAGGGAGGCCATGGAAGCTCTGAGCCCCTTCCCCCATACCTTGCCTTACATGTCCCTTGAATTTCCTCTTGCCTTATCCTATATCCTCTTGGATATAGAAACTTATTTTTAAAAAGTAATATATTGGATCTGTCTTTAAGACTTTGGTGAAAACAGGCCGGGTGCAGTGGCTCACGCCTGTAATCCCAGCACTTTGGGAGGCCGAGGCAGACGGATCACCTGAGGTCAGGAGTTCAAGACCAGCCTGGCCAACATGGTGAAACCCCGTCTCTACTAAAAATATAAAACTAGCCAGGCGTGGTGGTGGACACCTGTAATCCCAGCTACTCAGGAGGTTGAGGCAGGAGAATTGCTTGAACCCAGGAGGCGGAGGTTGCAGTGAGCTGACACAGTGCCACTGTACTCCAGCCTCGGCGACAGAGTGAGACTGTGTCTCAAAACAAAAAACAAAAAACAAAAACGAAGACTTTGGTGAAAACATGTTAGAGAAACAGACAAAGGGGACTATTTTCTTTCATGCTGATTCCCTAAATTTTTTTTTTTTGAGAGAAAGTCTCTGTCGCCCAGGCTGGAGTGCAGTGGTGCTATCTCGGTTCACTACAACTTCTGCTCCCTGGGTTCAAGCAATTCTTGTTCCTCAGCCTCCCAACTAGCTGGGACTACAGATGTGTGGCACCACGCCTGGCTAATTTTTGTTTTAGTCGAATTGGGGTTTGACCATTTTTTTTTTTTTTTTTGTAATATGGAGTCTCGCTCTTGTCAGCCAGGCTGTAGTGCAGTGGCACAATCTCTGCTCACTGCAAGCTCCCCCTCCCGGGTTCAAATGATTCTTCTGCCTCAGCCTCCCGAGTAGTTGGGATTACAGACGTACATCACCACGCCCAGCTAAGTTTTGTATTTTTAGTAAAGACAGGTTTCATCATGTTGACCAGGCTGATCTCGAACTCCCAACCTCAGGTGATCCACCTGCCTCAGCCTCCCAAAGTGCTGGGATTATAGGCGTGAGCCATCGTGCCCTGCCTGGGGCCTCTTTCCTAAGGCCTCCCATTCATGAGGGTTCTATTCTCATGACCTACTCACCTCACCTCCCAATGAACCCTAGCTTTTAATATCATCTCCTTGAGGGTTAGGTTTCAACGTATGAATTTTGGGGCAGCAAAAACTTTCAGAGTGCTGGTTGTGGTGGCTCACGCCTGTAATCCCAGTACTTTGGGAGGCCGAGGCAGGCAGATCACAAGGTTAAGAGATCAAGAACATCCTGGCCAACATGGTGAAACCCCGTCTCTACTAAAAATACAAAAATTAGCTGGGCTTGGTGGCATGAGCCTGCAGTCCAAGCTACTGGGGAGGCTGAGGCAGGCGAATCACTTGAACCTGGGAGGCGGAGGTTGTAGTGAGCCAAGATTGTGCTACTGCATTCCAGCCTGGTGACGGAGTGAGACTCCGTCTCAAAAAAAAAAAGAAAAGAAAAGAAAAAGAAAAAGAAAAAGAAAATTAGCCACGCGTGGTAGCGGGTGCCTGTAACGCCAGCTACTCCAGCAGCTGAGGCAGGAGAATCCCTTGAACCCAGGAGGCGGGGGTTGCAGTGAGCCTAGATCGTGCCACTGCACTCAAGCCTGGGTGATAGGGCGAGACTGCGTCTCAAAAAAAACAAAAAACAAAACAAAACAAAATAAAATTCAGACAATAGCACAATCTATATATGTGTGTGTGTGTGTGTGTGTATATACATACATATATATGTGTATATATATATATCCTTTTTTTTTTTCAGACAGACTCCCATGTTTAAGCTATTCTTAGCCTCCCAAGTAGCTGGGATTACAGGCGCACACCACCATGCCCGGCTAATTTTTGTATTTTTAGTAGAGATGGGGTTTCACCATGTTGGTCAGGCTGGTCTCGAACTCCTGACCTCGTGATCTGCCCTCCTTGGCCTTGCAAAGCGCTGGGATTACATGTGTGAGCCACCACACCCGGCCAGCACAGTTTATTTAAATTTCCCCATTTGTCTCCAAAATATCCTTTATACTATTTTCCCCTGATTTAGAATCCAATCAAGGTACATGCATTGCATATGATGATCTTGGTTTTTTTTTTTCAGATGGAGTCTTGCTCTGTTGCTCAGGCTGGAGTGCAGTGGCATGATCTCTGCTCATTGCAACCTCCGCCCACCTGGTTCAAGTAATTCTCCTGCCTCAGCCTCCTGAGTAGCTGGGATTACAGGTGCTCACCACCATGCCCAGCTACTTTTTGTACTTTTAGTGGAGATGGGGTTTCACCATGTTAGCCAGGCTGGTCTCGAACTCCTGACCTCGTGATCCACCCACCTTGGCCTCCCACAGTACTGGGATTACAGGTGTGAGCCACCATGCCTGGCCTATTTATTTTTAAAATCAAAATGAATTCAAGCAAATTGGTTATGTCCATAATTGAGAATCTTTTTGTGAACACCATAACTTTTTTCTTTCTTTCTCTCTCTTTCTTTCTCTCTTTTTCTTTCTTTCTTTCTTTGTCTTTCTTTCTTTCTTTCTTTTCCTTCCTTCCTTCCTTCCCTTTCTTTTTCCTTCCTTCCTTTTTTTTTTTTTTTTTTTTTGAGATGGAGTCTCACTCTGTCGCCCAGGCTGGAATGCAGTGGTGATATCTCGGCTCACTGCAAGCTCTGCCTCCCGGGTTCACGCCATTCTCCTGCCTCAGCCTCCTGAGTAGCTGGGACTATGGCGACCGCCACCATGCCCAGCTAATTTTTTGTATTTTTAGTAGAGACAGGGTTTCACCATGTTAGCCAGGATGGTTTCGATCTCTGGACCTCATGATCCGCCCACCTCAGCTTCCCAAAGAGCTGGGATTACAGGCATGAGCCACCGCGTCCGGCTCACTCCTTCCTTCCTTCCTTCCTTCCTTCCTTCCTTCCTTCCTTCCTTCCTTCCTTTCTTGATGGAGTTTTGTTCTTGTTGCCCATGCTGGGGTGCAATGGGGTGGTCTCAGCACACTGCAACCTCTGCCTCCCCGCCTCGGCCTCCCAAAGAGCTGGGATTACAGGCATGAGCCACCTCGTCTGGCTCCTTCCTTCCTTCCTTCCTTCCTTTCCTCCCTCCCTCCCTCCCTCCCTCCCTCCCTCCCTCCCTCCCTCCCTCCTTCCTTCCTTCCTTCCTTCCTTCCTTCCTTCCTTCCTTCCTTCCTTGATGGAGTTTTGTTCTTGTTGCCCAGGCTGGGATGCAATGGCGTGGTCTTAGCTCACTGCAATCTCTGCCTCCCAGGTTCAAGTGATTTTCCTGCCTCAGCCTCCAAAGTAGCTGGGATTACAGGCGCATGCCACCACACCTGGCTAATTTTTGTATTTTTAGTAGAGATGTGGTTTCACCATACTGGCCAGGCTGGTCTTGAACTCCTGGCCTCAGGTGATACACCTGCCTCAGCCTCCCAAAGTTCTGGGATTACAGGTGTGAGCTACCGTGCCCAGCAGAGAGATTTGGCTAGAGACTTTGCCAAGGGGCACCTGTGAATTGGGCAGGTTCAATACCTGTCCTTACAAAGCTCTGAGTGCAGTTCAGGAGCCAGACATCATACATGTAGTCATAATAGTGAGTCATTCATGTCACTGATGGTAAGTGCTCTGAAGAGAAATGCTGTTGACAGAGAATAACAGAGATCTCATCTCAAAGGGGGCCAGAGATGGTGAAAGGAAGAAAGGGGAAAACCCAAGGCAGGTTCTCTGAGGAAATGACTTTTAGGTTGAAACGGGGAGGAGGGGGAATCCACCACCAGGTAAAATGTGGAGTGGGGGGGGGGTTCTCTTTTAGAACTACATTTTCTTTTTCGTTTTTTTCCTTTTTTAGAAAAAGATAAAACATATTTGCAGAGATTGCTAGTCCGCTAATGACTTCTCTGCCCTTCTTCCTTGTCAGAGAACCCCGTTGTCACTCATAATGGCTACATTTCCAGCAATCTTTGCAGTTGCTTATGGCCATGTGATTAATTGTGGCCATTGGAAGTGCCACTTCTGGAATGCACCCTTAAAGAGAGGTGGTATTCCTCTTTCACCAACCTCCCTCTCCCCTGTGACTTGGAACAGGGCCTCAGTGTTGAGCCATCTTCACTCATGTGGCAGGCCAACACCTGTGGGTGGCAGAATGGCAACTGGGGCCACTCCACCACCCCAAGTGCCAACAGTCATGCTTATATCTGAGGCTGAAATAAGCTACTGTCTCATGTATGCCTTTTTTTTTTTTTTTTTGGCAGGGCAGGGGGGAGATGAAGTTCTGTTATATACAATTGAACTTAAATCCTAAGCAAATACAGTATATAATACTTAGCAACACATTTAAATTGAATAAAAGAGAGTATGATAAATATGAATTCTTCTTATCACCCATACACCTCAGAGTTGATTTTAAGACACAAGGAGCGGCCTGGCACCCTGGCTCATGCCTGTAATCCCAGCACTGTGGGAGGCTGAGGTGGGCGGATCACTTGAGGTCAGGAGTTCCAGACCAGCCTGGCCAACAGGGTGAAACCCTGTCTCTACTAAAAATACAAAAATTAGCTGGGTATGATGGTGGGTGCCTGGGAGGCTGAGGCAGGAGAAACACTTGAACCCGGGAGGCGGACGTTGCGGTGAGCTGAGATCTCGCTGCTGCACTCCAGCCTGGGAGACAAAGGGAGACTCCATCTCAAAAAAAAAAAAAAAAAAAAAGAAGAAGAAGGAGGCTGGTCACAGTGGCTCACGCCTCTAATCCCAGCACTTTGGGAGGCTGAGGTGGACAGGTTGCTTGAGGCCAGGAGTTCGAGACCAGCCTGGGCAAAATGGCAAAACTTTGTCTTTACAAAAAATACAAAAATTATTTGGGCGTGGTTGTGTGCACCTGTAGTCCCAGCTACTCAGGAAGCTGAGGTGAAAGGATTGCTTGAGCCCAGGGGGCAGAGGTTGCAGTGAGCCAAGATCACTCCACTGCGCTTTAGCCTGGGTGATAGAGCCAGACCTTGTCTCAAAATAGAATTAAAAAAATAAAGTCTGGGCTTAGTGGCTCACACCTGTAATGACAGCACTTTGGGAGGCCAAGGCTGCACTCCAGCCTGGGAGACAGAGCAAGACTCCATCTCAAAAAAAAAAAAAAAAAACCAAAAAAAAATTAAAAGAAAAAATATTAAATAAAATTAAATATCTGGATTCCCTAGTATAACATCCTTTGCCACCTACATCTAGAATAAAGTGTTATCTTGCAGCCTGTGGTCCTTTTTTTTTTTTTTTTTTGAGACAAATCTCCCTCTGTTTTGGCTCACTGAAACCTCCGTTTCCCGGGTTCAAGTGATTCTCCTACCTCAGCTTCCCAAGTAGCTGGGACTACAGGTGTGTGCCATGAGGCCTGGCTAATTTTTTTGTATTTTTAGTAGAGACGAGGTCTCACCATGTCGCCCAGGCTGGTCTTGAACTCCTGAGCTCAAATGATCCACCTGCTTCAGCCTCCCAAAGTGCTGGGATTACAGGTATAAGCCACCACATCTGGCCCGTGTGGTCCATTTAAAAATAAACTTTTGTTAAAAATATATATATATATATTATAGTGGCTCATGATCTCTTCAGATTTTTCACTCAGCCATTCCTACCTTAGCTGTGAATTTGCTCAGCTGCTCTGGTTTTTGTTCTACTCTAATTTCTGTATCACCTGGAATCAAACCAACTCATTTGAAAAAAAAAAAAAAAAAACTTCATGATCCTGAGAGATGAAGATCAAACTTCATGTGTGCAGTGATTGGTCCCTAAAGCAGGAGGACCAGGCTGTCTTTTGCCACGACCACTGGGCCTTGATCAAAGTGTCTGGGGACGTCCCTCCTGCCTTGGTCCCAGTTCATATTGCTGACTTTTTGTATTGCTACCTGATATCTGAGGTCACTTTAGACTCTGGCTACTTTGGGAGCAATGTTTGAAGAGATCCAGCCCAGAGCTCTGGTTTTATGGCATTTTGGATCTGTGAACCATCTTACTCATCACCAACTGAAGTGACCCCACGCATCCCCACCTTCCCACCACCACACACACGTACAGACAAAGCAAACCTCCATCTGACAAGTGACTTTTGTTGAAAAATCAACACAGTGGTTCTTTTTTTTTTGTTTTTGAGACGGGGTCTCACTCTGTCACCCAGGCTGGAGTGCAGTGGCACAATTTCGGCTCACTGCAACCTCTCCCTCCCGGGTTCAAGCGATTCTCCTGCCTCAGCCCCCTGAGTAGCTGGGATTACAGGCGGCCGCCCCCATCCCCAGCTAATTTTTGTATTTTTGGTACAGTCGGGGGTTTCACCATGTTGACTAGGCTGGTCTCGAACTCCCAACCTCAGGTGATCCAACTGCCTCAGCCTCCCAAAGTGTTGGGATTACAGGCGTGAGCCACTGCGCCTGGCCTAACACAGTGGTTCTTAACTTTTACTATTATTTCACTTGATAAGCAAAAGCATAAACATAAATTCCAGAAAAGTGAAACTACCTGAAGAACACATGGACATTATTCATGGATCCTCTTGTGAGAAGTGCTTGTCCATTTGTGATGCTACAGCGTTCCTTAACATTGTGAGAAATACCCAAATACTACCAGTATTAAACTGTGCTACACACACATACACACAGACACACACACACTCAGAGCTTGCCATCTATTTCTCTACAATGCAACTGGGTTCACATGGGATTAAGACTAATTATAAACTGAGCGCGGTGGCTCACGCCTGTAATCCCAAAACTTTGGGAGGCTGAGGCGGGTGGATCACCTAAGGTCGGGAGTTTGAGACCAGCCTGACCAACATGGTGAAACCCCATATCTACTAAAAATACAAAAAAATTTAGCTGTGCATGGTGGCCGGCACCTGTAGTCGCAGCTACACAGGAAGCTGAGGCAGGAGAATTGCTTGAACCTGGGAGGCAGAGGCTGCAGTGAGCTGAGATCGCGCCACTGCATTCCAGCATGGGCGACAGATCGAGACTCCATCTCAAAAAAAAAAAAAATACTAATTATAGAAATAAATAGATTATGGGAGCCTTGGTTGCACTGTCATAAAATCAATTCATATCTGTGTGGGTCCAAGAGTTTACTTGGCACCATTTTCTCTCTCTTTTTTGAGACGGAGTCTTGCTCTGTCGCCCACGCTGGAGTGCAATGGTGTGATCTCGGCTCACTGCAACCTCTGCCTCCCAGGTTCACGCCATTCTCCTGCCTCAGCCTCCTGAGTAGCTGGGACTACAGGTGCCCGCCACCAAGCCTGGCTAATTTTTTTGTATTTTTAGTAGAAACGGGGTTTCACCATGTTAGCCAGGATGGTCTCGATCTCCTGACCTCGTGATCTGCCCGCCTTGGCCTCCTAAAGTGCTGGGATTACAGGCGTGAGCCACCGCTCCCGGCCACTTGGCACCATTTTCAACATGACTGAAGGGATTCATCCTGCCTTACAGAGAAAGTCAGCTGGAGAGTTAAATGTACAATCTCATAATCGGATTTGTGCTCTGGCTTAGTTGATTCTGAAAAGAATTCAGTCAAATAAAAGCAATGCATTAGAGAATACTATATTGAGCAAAAGATTTTGTGAAATAGCACAGATCCATTGACCATAAGTAATTAGTCAATTTAGCATTCCACTACTATTAATTGAACTTCTGTAGAGCGAGGGGGACTATTGTGAGGGAAACATAAGACTCGGGTCACAACGATGTGTGTTCATGTTCTAGTGATCATTTGCATTAGGTCCCAACCTTTTTGCTGGAAAAACATTGTTTTTGAGTAGTTGCTTAAAGGTACATTACAGTGGTCACTTTAAGAATAGCAGTGAGGCCAGGCACAGTGGTTCATGCTTGTAATCTTAACACTTTGGGAAGCTGAGGCAAGTGAATGGCTTGAGCTCATGAGTTCGAGACCAGCCTGGGCAACATGGCGAGGACCTGTCACTACAAAAAATACAGAAAGCAGCCAGGTGTGGTGGCAGGCCCCTGTAGTCCCAGCTACTTAGGAGGTTGAGGTAGGAGGATCACTTGAGCCCAGGTTGTCGAGGCTGCAGTGAGCCCAAATGGTGCCACTGCCCTCCAGCCTGCATGAGAAAGTGAGACTTTGTCTTAAAAAAAAAAAAAAAAAAAAAAAGCAGTGAAGGCCAGGTGTGCTGCTTCACACCTGTAATCCCAGCACTTTGGGAGGCTGAGGCAGGAGGATCCCTTGAGGCCATGAGTTTGAGACCAGCCTGGGCAGCAACATAGTGAGATTCAATCTCTACATTTTACAAAAGAATAAAGATTAAATATGTGCGTGTGTGTGCGTGTGTGTATTTATGTGTGTGTGTGTGTGTATATATATATACTTTTTTTTTTTTTTGAGATGGAATTTTGCTCTATTGCCCAGGCTGGAGGGCAGTGGCACAATCTCAGCTCACTGCAACCTCCACCTCCTGAGTTCAAGCAATTATCCTGTCTCAGCCTCCCAAGTAGCTGGGACTACAGGCGCACGCCACCATGCCCGGATAATTTTTGTATTTTTAGTAGAAATGGGCTTTCACTATATTGGTCAGGCTGGTCTCAAACTCCTGACCTTAGGTGATCCACCCACCTCGGCCTTCCTAAGTGATGGGATTATAGGCGTGCCCAGCCTAAAATATTTTTTAGAAGTTAAAAAGAAAACAACATTAGCAGTGTAAACAGGGATTTGACCTGAGGCTGCTTTTAGCCCTCACTGTCCATTCTCACACAAGGTCCCTCAAGGTCTAGCGCCTGCCTCTCTCTGCAGTTTCCTGTCTCAGCACGTATCCTCTCTCTCTGTTCTACAGCCAACTGAACTATAGCTCCCTGTGCCTTTACACAAGTTACTCACTCTTCTTGGACTGCTTATCTTTCCCTTTTGACTTAATTCCTTCTCATTCTTCAAGACTTATCATAGTATATACCCAAAAGAACTGAAAGTAGGAACACAGATTTTTTTTTTTTTTTTTTTTTTTTTTGAGACCGAGTCTTGCTCTGTGGCCCAGTCTGGAGTGCAGTGGCACAATCTTGGCTCACTTCAGCCTCCACCTCCTGGGTTCAAGTGATTTTCCTGTCTCAGCCTCCTGAGTAGCTGGGATTACAGGCATGGCTAATTCTTATATTTTTAGTAGAGATGGGGTTTCAGCATGTTGGCCAGGCTGGTCTCAAACTCCTGACCTCAGGTGATCTGCCCACCTTGGCTTCCCAAAGTGCTGGGATTACAGGCGTGAGCCACTGAGCTCAGCCCCCGGTTTTTGTTTTGTTTTGTTTTTTGTTTTTTTCTGAGATGGAGTCTCGCTGTGTTGCCAGGAGTGCAGTGGCGCGATCCCAGCTCACTGCAACCTCTGCCTCTCTGGTTCAGGTGATTCCCCTGCCTCAGTCTCCCAAGTAGCTGGAACTACAGGCACACACCACCATGCCCAGCTAATTTTTTGTCTGTGTTTTAGTAGAGAGGAGGGTTTCACCATGTTAGCCCAGGATGATATCGATCTCTTGACCTGGTGATATGCCCGCCTCTGCCTCCTAAAGTGCTGGGATTACAGGCGTGAGCCACCGCGCTCGGCCACAAACAGATTTTTATACACTTGTCTTCACAGCAGCTTTATTCATAATAGCCAAAAGGTTGAAGCCACCCAAGTGGTCATCAATGAATGAATGGATAAATAAAATGTATATTCATCCAATGGAATATTATTCAGCCTTAAAAAGGAAGGCCATTCTGGCATGTGTTACAACATAGATGAACCTTGAGGGGATTATGCTAAGTGAAAGAAGCCAGACAATAAAGGACAAATACTGTATAATTGCATTTTATTTATTTATTTTAATTTTTATTTATCCATTTATTTTTTTTTTGAGGCAGAGTCTGCCTCTGTTGCCCAGGCTGCAGTGGCGTGATCTCAGCTCACTGCAACCTCTGCCTCCCAGTTTCAAGTGATTCTCCTGCCTTAGCCTCCCAAGTAGCTGGGATTACAGACGCCCACTACCACAACCAGCTAATTTTTTTGTATTTTTAGTAGAGATGGAGTTTCCCCATGTTAGCCAGGCTGGTCTCAAACTCTTGACCTCAGGTGATCCACCCGCCTCGACCTCCCAAAGTGCTAGGATTACAGGTATGAGCCACTGCACCTGGCTCATTTAATTAATTTATTTATTTGAGATGGAGTCTCACTCTGTTGCCCAGGCTGGAGTACACTGGTGCTATCTCAGCTCACTGCAACCTCTGCCTCCCAGATTCAAGCAATTCTTGTGCCTCAGCCTCCCGAGTAGCTGGGATTACAGGCAAGTGCCACCATGCCTGGCTAATTTTTGTATTTTTAGTAGAGACACGGTTTTACCATGTTGCCCAGGTTGGTCTCGAACTCCTGACCTCAGGTGATCCACCCACCTCAGCCTCGCAAAGTGCTGGGATAACAGGCATGAGCCACCGCACCCGGCCAACAAGTTTATTTTTATTTATTTATTTATTTATTTATTTATTTATTTTTTTGTGACAGAGTCTTGCTCTGTCGCCCAAGCTGGATTACAGTGGCATGATCTCGGCTCACTTCAGGCTCCACCTCCTGGGTTCATGCCATTCTCCTCCCTCAGCCTCCCGAGTAGCTGGGACTACAGGCGCCCGCCACCATGCCTGGCTAATTTTTTTTTTTGTACTTTTAGTAGAGACAGGGTTTCACAGTGTTAGCCAGGATGGTCTCGATCTCCTGACCTCGCGATCCACCTGCCTCAGCCTCCCAAAGTGCTGGGATTACAGGTGTGAGCCACCATGCCCAGCAACAAGTTTATTTTTTAAAAAACGTAACACAGACACTGTCTCCTCTATGAAACCTTCTGATCCCCTCATTAGGGGATGAGTGTTCCTCTTACAGGACCCCCACCCAGCACCATCTGGTTCTATCAGTACACCATTGCATCATTTTCTCATATTGTAGGGATGCACACTACATGTAAGGTAAAACATTTAGTATCTTTCCTATTTAGTTGTTATAACAGTTATTATAACATTGATCAGTTGTATTACACTCATTTGTCCTAGCTGTCCTTCTAGATAACAAAGTCGTTGAAGACAGGAACTGTCTTTTTTATCTGTATGTCTCCTCAGACTTGCCAGGCATTCGCCACATGGGTTTATCCAATCACGAACTGAAGTTAAGTGGATAATTCCTGGACGCCTAGAGAGGGAAAGAAACTTTGGAGACTAAGGAGAACATTGCGTCCATCCTGTTGGTACTTGCAGCGTGTGTATAAAGTGCACCGCAAAATTCTTGCACATAGTAGGCATTCAATAAGCAGTAGTTCTTTTCCTTTTTCCCTTCATTTTACAGAGAAGGGAATTGAGACCCACAAAGGTGAAGTAATTGGCTCAGAGTTAAACAGCCTGACAACAGAAGAGACAAGCACCGCATCTTCCGGTCTAGTGAGTCTTTTTTTTCCTATAACATGGGAAACATGGAACGTGGGAAGGACCCTTGACCCCAATAGCAATAGGTTTACAAATAACTTTTTATTATGGAAGTTTCAAACATACTCAAAAGTAGGGAGAACAGCATAATGAGCCCTATATACCCATCACTCAGCTTCAACAATTACCAACTCTTTTTCCATCTTTTTCATGTACATTTCCTCCACCCTTCACCCCCAACATTTTACAAGTTCTAACTGTATTTTTCATGAAAAAAAGTTTAATGTGTTTCGTCTCTAGAAAGGATGAACTCAGCTGGAAAAGATTTCATTCAGATAACACCTCAATTCTTCTATTAAAATATATTAGACATCAGATCCTCAAAACACCCACAATATTTATAGGCCTTTAGAATTTTGCCTAAGTGTGCATGCCAAAACATAAGTAACAACTGATTCTTAATCTCTAGAGATCAGTGGGCTTCTTCCAACGCTTATTTCTCTGTTGACTTTTCATTCCCCTATATTATCTTTCTCAGTCTGTTTAAATTATCCTCTCTATCCGCCTCCAAATGCCAACCTTTGTGCTTTTCTTTGTATAGTTTTCACTTCCTAGAATGCCTTCTTTCTTCCAAAAATCTAACAATCCTTCAAGATCCATTTCAGGAACTTTATACGACCTAAAACCTTCTTAGATGATCTCACCCTTAGAATGACATAGGGTTTGATAGTCATAGCAGTTTTGCACTTTATTATTATTATTTTTGAGCCAGAGTCTGGCTCTGTTGCCCAGGCTTGAGTGCAGTGGCGCGATCTCGGCTCACTGCCAACTCCACCTCCTGGGTTCAAACGATTCTCCTGCCTCCGCCTTCCGAGTAGCTGGGATTACAGGCATGTACCACCACAACTGGCTAATTTTTTTTTTTGTACTTTTAGTAGAGACAGCGTTTCATCATGTTGGCCAGGCTGGTCTCCAACTCCCGACCTCAGGTGATCTGCCCACCTTGGCCTCCCAAAAGTGCTGGGATTACAGGCGTGAGCCACCATGCCTGGCCTGCACTTAATTATTAATTGTTCTGCATGTATCAGTTTTGCCATCTTAACAAGATTTCAGGTTCCTTGATGACAAAGATTTTGTCTTAAAATGTTTTTTTGTTTTAGTCTGGGCAATATTGTTAAACCCTGTCTCTACACGAAAAATATAACACCAAAAAAATACAATAAATTTACCTGGTGTGGTGGCACTTACCTATAGTTCTAGCTACTTGGGAGACTGAAGCAGGAGGATCACCTGAGCCCAGGGAGTTTGAGGCTGCAGTGAACCAAGATTGTGCCTCTGTATTCCAGCCTGGGCGACAGAGTGAAACCTCGTCTTAAAAAAAAAAAAAAAACCCAAAAAAAACCAGAAACAAATTTTGTGCGTGTGTGTGTGGATATTTCCTCTCATTCCTCCTACCCCTGTTCTAAGACCACTGATGGTGGGAGCATGGACTGGGTTGCTCATCATAGTTTGTTGATGAATTTTGCACACTCACATTTTGGGCCACTCATATACTCTTACAGTGGCGTAGTTGGACTTAGGCAGTGGTCTTGCCAAAAACATCAAACTTGAATCTGAGCTGGTCTCTTGATTTAACTTTCAGTATTCAAGAAGACAAAGGTAGGGCACTGTGGCTTATGCGTATAATCCTATACTCTGGGAGGCCAAGGTGGGCAGATTGATTGAGTCCAGGAGTTTGAGGACAGCCAGGCCAACATGGTGAAAGCCACATCTGTACTGAAAATACAAAAAAAAAAAAAAAAAAAAAAATTAGCCAGGTGTGGTTGTGCATGCCTGTAATCCCAGCTACTCGGGAGGCCGAGGCAGGAGAATCGCTTGAACCTGGGAGTTGGAGATTGCAGTGAGCCGAGATCACACCACTGCACTCCAGCCTGGATGACAGAGCAGGACTCAAAAAAAAAAAAAAAAAAAAAAGAGAAAAACAGAGAAGACCCCATAAGGATGTGTGTGAGGAGCTAACTATTTACTGTGGAAAACTTTACAGGAAAAGTTTTTCCATGAATAAATTGTAATGGGGAAAAGCAGGAGGCTGGCAGGGAATATGTAGGTTTTTAAAAGACCTGCTCACCAGCCACAGTACGTGAACCTTATGTGGCTTCTGATGCAAGCAAACTGAACAAAATTTTTGATATTTATGAGAAAATTTCAACACTTAGTGAATAGTTTATGATATGAAAGTTTTTTTGTTAAAAAAAAAACCCCTACCATTTAAAAATTTGTGGCCAAATATAAACACACAACATAAATTTTACCATTTTATCCTTTTTTTTTTTTTTTTGAGACAGTCTTGCTCTGTCACCCAGGCTGGAGTGCAGTGGTTTGATTTCAGCTCACTGCAACCTCTGCCTCCCAGGCTCAGGCAAGTCTCCTGCCTCAGCCTCCTGAGTAGCTGGGATTACAGGTGCGCACTACCATGCCTGCCTAATTTTTGTATATATATATATATATATTTTTTTTTTTTTTTGAGACAGAGTTTTGCCCTTGTTGCCCAGGCTGGAGTGCAGTGGCATGATCTCGGCTCACTACAACCTCTGCCTCCCGGGTTCAAGCAATTCTCCTGCCTCAGCCTCCTGAATAGCTGGGATTACAGGAGCCCGCCACCACGCCCAGCTAATTTTTGTATTTTTGGTAGAGACGGGGTTTCACCATGTTAGCTAGGCTGGTCTCGAACTCCTGACCTCAGGTGATCCGCCTGTCTTGGCCTTCCAAAATGCTGGGATTATAGGCATGAGCCACTGCTACCGGCCACCATCTTAATCTTTTTTTTTTTTTTTTTTTTTGAGACAGAGTTTCACTTTTGTTGCCCAGGCTGGAGTGCAATGGTGCGATCTCCGGCTCACCACAACCTCCTCCTCCTGGGTTCAAGCAATTCTCCTGCCTCAGCCTCCCGAGCAGCTGGGATTACCGGCCACCAAATCCAGCTAATTTTGTATTTTTAGTAGAGACGGGTTTCTCCATGTTGGTCAGGGTGGTCTTGAACTCCCAACCTCAGGTGATCCGCCTGCCTCAGCCTCCCAAAGTGCTGGGATTACAGGTGTGAGCCACCGCGTCCAGCCATTTAAATCATGTTCAAGTGTACAGTCCAGTGACATTAAGTCCATTCACATTATTGTGCGACCATCACCTCCATCCAATGGCAGAATGGTTTTCATTTTCCAAAATCGAAACTCTGTGTCCACTAAATACTAACTGCCCATTCCCTCCTCTCTCCAGCTCCTGGCAACCACCATTCAATTATCTGTCTTTATGAATTTACTACTCCAGATACCTCATATGAGTGGAAGCAGACTATATTTGTCCTTTTATGTCTGGTTTATTTCATTCAGCACAGTGTCCTCAATGTTCATTCATGTTGTAGCATGTGTCAAAAGGGTTTGCTGTTGTTTTTTTTTTCTTTTGAGATGGAGTCTCGCTCTGTCACCCAGGCTGGAGTGCAGTGGTGCGATCTTAGCTCACTGCAACCTTCGCCTCCTGGGTTCAAGCAATCCTCCTGCCTCAGCCTCCCGAGTAGCTGGGACTACAGGCAAGTGCCAGCATACCTGGTTAATTTTTTTGTATTTTTGTATTTTTTATTTTATTTTATTTTATTTTATTTTGAGATGGAGTCTCGCTCTGTCGCCCAGGCTGGAGTGCAGTGGTGCAATCTCGGCTCACTGCAAGCTCTGCCTCCCAGGTTCACGCCATTATCCTGCCTCAGCCTCCCGACTAGCTGGGACTATAGGCACCTGCCACCATGCCCAGCTAATTTTTTTGTATTTTTAGTAGAGATGGGGTTTCACTGTGTTAGCCAGGATGGTCTCAATCTCCTGACCTCATGATCTGTCCGCATTGGCCTCCCAAAGTGCTGGGATTACAGGCGTGAGCCACCGTGCCCAGCTGTATTTTTTAATTTTATTTAACTTATTTATTTTTTGAGATGGAGTCTCACTCTGTTGCCCAGACTGGAGTGCAGTGGCATGATCTCGGTTCACAGCAGCATCCACCTCCCGGGTTCAAGCAATTCTCCTACCTCAGCCTCCTGAGTAGCTGGGATTACAGGTGTGTGCCACCACGCCCACATAATTTTTTTGTATTTTTAGTAGAGATGGGGTTTCACCATGTTGGCCAGGCTGGTCTCGAACTCCTGACCTTGTGATCTACCCACCTCGGCCTCCCAAAGTGCTGGTATTTCAGGTGTGAGCCATTTGCCTGGCCTTTTTTACTCTCCTAGAGACAAGAAATAACTCTGTCACCCAGGCTGGAGCGCAGTGGCGGGATCATGGCTCATTGCTGCCTTGACCTCCTGGGCTTAAGTAATCCTCCCACCCCAGTCTCCTGAGTAGCTGGGACTACAGGCACGTGACGCTACATCCAGCTCATTTTCTATTTTTTAGTAGAGATGGGGTCTCACTATGTCGTCCAGGCTGGTCTGAAACTCCTGGCCTCAAGTGTTCCTCCTACCTAGGCGTCCCAAAGTGCTGGGATTACAGGCATGAGCCACTGAGCCTGGCCTGGTTGTTTCTTTCTTTTTTTTTTTTTTTAGGGGTAGTAATTATTTTAGGTTTGTTTTTTAAAAAAGAGAGAGATCTGATTTTTTAGAAATATTTTGAAAATATTTATGGATGAAATTATAAGAAGTCTGGGGATTGCTTCAAGATAACATTGTCGTGGGGTGAGTGGGTGGGGTCCAGTTGAAATAAGATGGGCCATAAGTTATTAATTGTTGCAGCTGTGTCACGGGTGCATAGGGGTTTCATTATATGATAGCTATTTTGATCTATGTTTGACACTTTTCATAATTAATTATTAAAAAGCACACACACGTATCTGGAAGGGCATGTGTTATTCATTTAACTCTGCTCTCCTGAACGTGACCCCCTCCCGCCTTTTCATTTGCAATGAGGACCTTTGTGGTCCAGGAGGATGGTGTCTGTTCTCTGCTGAAGCAGGATGGGGGCCTGTCCAGAACTGTTTACACTGGCACTTTGGGCCCAGTGATACACTGCCAAGGTTGCATATAAATTAGGTATCCCTTAGCCACCCTGGTTGATGGATTTATCTGGCTGTGCTGCTTAGAATTTGGGTAGGTGTTTAGAATCCAGACACACAAAGTCAGAGGATTTGTCCTTGTGCCCTTTCCTTGCATGCATGGATTTATTCAGCATTACCCAGGCTGCCTGAGAGGGGCCCATGTGAGTAATGCCAGGTGACCCTGCCAGTACACCCCATCTTCATCTTGGGCTTGACAACTGTCAGGGGGACTTTACGTGAGGGGAGTGGAGGGGAGGGGTGGTAAAAAACAGCCTCATTGTATGAAACTCCTTAAGAGCCTGGTCCATCCTCGGGGGGAATAGAAAGTAAATTGCTTCCCTTTAGGAGCTGAATTAACTCTTTCAGGCCAATAGAATTAGTTCAGTAATCACTATCCCATTGCCTTAGGATTTCCCCGAATGGTATTTTTAATGAACCATGCCTCCCTATTGCTACCAATGCCACAATTTAACAGAATTGACTGGTAAACTCAGCCAACAACAGGTTTCACTAATTTTTTCCTTCTCGAAATAGACCAGGTGTTCTTGTGAAGGGATCAATTGACTGCTTGTTTCAGAACTGAGAAGGCGCAACCTCATTAGAGGCCGCCAGTAGATGAGCCCTCTAATCCTTATTCATTTTCAGAGCAAGAATTGTAGTGTCTTGCACTCCAGCCCGTCAGCTAGCCTTTTGTGTTGCTATCAAGTCTTAGTTCCTTGTTTCCAATTTGCTACATAATTTCTCTTCTGGCTGGTAGCTTCAGAGAAAAGGAGTAACAGTAAGCAAGTTTTAACTGACAGGTTTTGAAACCTGAAAGTTAAACATCTAGACAGGTTAGCAGTTGCATTTAAAAAGCTTTAAAGAAGATTGCAGTTGAATTGATTTCCAACTTCGCAGGCAGCCGTGTTTATAATTGAACAGCTCTGAAATTCGAAGAAAAGGTCTCCTTTTATTTGCTAAATATCTCATCTCCCCCCTCAGCACAGAAGGTTGGAGAAATGGGAAAAAATAAGGATTTGTATCCTTTTAATTAAAAGTAATCTTGGGAAGTTTTAGGGACTTCTTTCCACTCTCTTTAAAGCAGGCAAGTAGAGAACTTGCTTACAACTGGCCTTTTAAAGAGAAGCTGTCTAAGACAGAAGGGTTGAGGCCTGAAGTAGGTTAGTAAATGGCTCCCATTTGAGAGATAAATTTACTGAGACCATTGGAGTGTCATTTACTACCTTGGAAGAGATAATTAAACCAAATATTAGCCTGGTGTCTTGAAAGGGTTAACTCATCTCTCAAGGCCATGCAGTTGATTTCTCGACAGCACTTTATTCACCTCAGCCACCTCCCCCAGTCCCAGGATGGAGCCCTTTGTCCCCAGCTCCTCTGAGCTGGGGCTGTACAGCTGGAATCAAACACGCTGGACTTCCCAAAGAATTAAGCGCCTTCAGTATCAGGCTCTGTTCTGCACAGTTCCCCCAAGGAGGCTACAGTCTGTTGGATGTTAGCGCACAAATTTGTCATTTGCGCAGCTGCTGTGTGCTGGTTAGCTCTTAATAAAGCCATACATTCATAAAGGGAGGAAGGCACCATTCCTCGGCGTGTGGGCTTTGCAATCAGGCACACTCAGGTTTGGATCCTGACCCTGACCGTTACCAGCTGGGTGACCTTGGGCACGTTATTTAGCAACTCTAAAGGTTAGTTTCTTTCTCTACAAAATGGGATGATAGGACCACATCCCTCTCTGGGAGCTAAGACCTCGAGGAGGAAGGCTCAGGGAGTGCTCGTTGACTGAAGGCGTGTATTGTGGCTCAGGGCCTGGTGCTGAATGAGTTCTCCATGGCTGTTAGCTACTGCTGTTATTATTATTGTTGTTATGAAATCTTCCCTATCTTCTCTGTGAAGTCTCTATGGGGTTCCCTAGAAAAAGCTAATGCCTCCCCACTGTGTTCTCATCACAGTTTGCAGGTGCCACTAGTATAGCTCTTACCACGTTGTATTATAACTGCTTGTTTCCCCCACCTTGACAGTTGTTGTAGAAATGAAAATAATGTATGTGAAACACTAAGCTCCGTGCCTGGCATAGAGGAGGAGATCAATAAATGTAACTTCATTTTACTTATTAAGATTCTCACTTAGTAGACACAATTTTTTCCAACAAATGCTCATGGGATATCTACTGTAAGTAGATACTATTACTTTCCCCATTTCATAATGGAGGAAAAGAAGGCTTGAAGTGGTCAAAGTTACCCAAAGCCAACTAGAAGTAAGGAATAGAGGTAGGATTCAAACCCAAGTGAGTGAGAACTGGGACAATATGCTATTGATCTTTGCATTCTTATTTTTTTATTTTTATTTTTTCAGAGATGAGGGGGTCTCACTGCTTTGCCCAGGCTGGTCTCGAACTCCTGGGCTCAAGCAATCCTCCCACTTCAGCCTCCCAAAGTGCTGGGATTATAGGCATGAGCCACCTCGCCCTGCCCTTGATCTTTGCATTCTTAGCACCTAGTGCAATTCCTAACGCCTGGCAAATGCTCCATAAATATGGAATGGAATGGATGCTTTAGAGTTAGTTGTCATTCTTCGTCCTGCCGAGCTAGAAAAGACCCAGTGACTCTTGTTTTTTTGTTTTGTTTTGTTTTGCTTTCTCTTTGAGATGGAGTTTCATTATTGTTGCCCAGGCTGGAGTGCAGTGGTGCAATCTCGGCTCACAGCAACCTCCGCCTCCCGGGCTCAAGCATTTCTCCTGCCTCAGCCTCCCAAGTAGCTGGAATTACAGGCATCTGCCATTACGCCTGGCTAATTTTTGTATTTTTAATAGAGATGAGGTTTCCCCATGTTGCCCAGGCTGGTCTCAAACTCCTGAGCTCAAGGGATTTGCCTGCCTTGGCCTCCCAAAGTGCTGGGATTACAGGCGTGAGCCACTGTGCCCAGCCTCAAAGTGGATCTTAAAGCAGAGGCTGATACACGTTTTTAACTTGCACATTTTGGGTTTTTTTTTTTTGAGACAGAGTCTCACTCTATTGCCCAGACTGGAGTGCAATGGCGTGATCTCGGCTCACTGCAGCCTCTGCCTCCCAGGTTCAAGTGAGTCTCCTGCCTCAGCCTCCCAAGTAGCTGGGATTACAGGCATGAACCACTACACCCAGCTAATTTTTGTATATATATATTTTTTAATAGAGATGGGGTTTCACCATGTTGGTCGGGCTGGTCTTGAACTCCTGACTTTGTGATCCGCCTGCCTCGGCCTCCCAAAGTGCTGGTATTACAGGCGTGAGCCACCGCACCTGGCCACATGTTGGTTTTTTAATATACCATTTACCCTGTGAAAAATGGTCACTTATCTTGAAGATGTTGTATTCACTTAAGACTCCCACTAGAGTGGCCACGGGAATATTGTTCATGAATTTGTGGCAGAATGAGACTCATCAATAGCTTGCCTAATAAATTAAAAGGATACCCAATATCTGCCTTAAACCCACAAAGGAATATAAATTTGCAGCAAGAGATCAAGACTCTAATGAAGGCAGCAGGAGACGGCTTTAAAGACAATTCCCTGTTGCAACTTGATGATGAAAATCAGTCTTAACTGTGCATTTAATTTCTTTTGTGGGTTCAAAGCAGATCCCTAAAGTTTTATTCGAGGAAGGTTAATCATGATAGTCTTTGGAGCCTATAATGCTTCTAATATTGGGTAGAGTGAGTAAAAGATATTTGTGTGAATAATATTTTGCCTTTTTAAAGTTAGGTGTTACGTAGAAAAAAAGAACCTGCAAAAATACTATCTTTGTAGACATCTTTGAAGAAATAAATGTGGGAAAAGATGTAGGATTCATTAATACACAGCATTTATTTGTAAAAAATGCCTTCCTAACTTTCCACAAATCCCATATTTCCTAAGCAAAATTCTATATGTTAAATATGGAAAGGAACCTTTTTAAATAAAAAGGAAATAAGGGTGGCCAGGCACGGTGGCTCATGCCTGTAATCCCAGCACTTTGGGAGGCTGAGGCGGGCAGATCACATCAGGTCAGGAGTTCAAGACCAGACTGGCCAACCTGGCGAAACCCTGTCTCTACAAAAATACAAAAATTAGCTGGCATGGTGGTGTGTGCTAGTAATCCCAGCTACTTGGGAGGCTGAGGTGGGAGAATTGCTTGAGCCCGGGAGGCAGCGGAGGTTGCAGTGAGCTGAGATTGCGCCATTGCACGCCAGCCTGGGTGACAGAGTGAGACTCCATCTCAAAAAAAAAAAAAAGGAAATAAGGAAAGGAAAGAAGAGCAACACCAAAACTTTTTCCTTGATGAGGTGGTAGAGACCTATTTAATGCAGAACAACATTTTAGAAGTCCATGCCAGGTGCATAAAATTTGTGCACCCTTCCTTTCCTTTTTCTCATTGATTTCCCTTTTGGTCCTTCTCGGTGCCTTTCAGGAGTGGCTTAAATTGTCAAATACACCATAATTCATGAGTGTTTATCTTTGATTCCACATCCCCCTCACCCCAATCCCACATCTTCAATTCTTTTTCTTAGAAGCAGAGTCTTGCTCTGTTGCCCAGGCTGGAGTGCAGTGGCATGATCAGGGCTCACTGCAGCCTTGACTTTCCAGGCTTCTGTGATCCTCTCAGCTCAGCTTCCCAAATAGCTGGGACCACAGGCGCACACCACCATGTCTCGCTAATTTTTATGCATTTTCTTTTTTTGTAGAGATGAGGTCTTGCTATGTTGCCCGGGCTTCATCTTCTACTCTTGCTTCCTCTTTATTTCTCTCTAGCTCTAAGCCAGAAGTCGTTCTACTTCACTGTGCATAAGGATCAAATGAGAATTTGAGTTAGAAATTCAGTGATTTCTGGGCCGGGTGTGGTGGCTTATGCCTGTAATCCCATCATTTTGGGAGGTCGGTTTGGGCGGATCACTTGAGGTCAGGAGTTTAAGATCAGCCTGGCCAACATGGTGAAACCCTGCCTCTACTAAAATACAAAAATTAGCTGGGCATGGTGGTGCACTCCTGTAATCCAAGCTATTCGGGAGGCTGAGGCTAGAGAATTGCCTGAATCCAGGAGGCGGAAGTTGCAGTGAGCCAAGATCGTGCCACTGCACTCCAGTCTGGGTGACAGAGTGAAACTCCGTCTCACACACACACAAAAAAATAAAAATAAAAATAAAAAAAATTAAAAAAAAAAAAAAAGACGAAATTCAGTGATTTCTGTGTTGACATCCAGGAATCGTGAGTTTTGCCAAACATCCTAAGTATTGCTGTTGTAGGTGTTGAGATATACTATTAGGTTATGGAGTAAGACTTAAACTATCACCAGGGTATTTTCATTTTATTAAGAGAACAATGATTCTTTAATTGTAGAATTACAGGCATCAGTAATCCTTGTGGCTAGAGGGTTTCTTCCGAGGAGGAGCTTAGACTCCTGACAGATCCTATTGTAAGGCCCCAGTTCTCCCTTCCCTTCTGGCTCCCTCTTTACCCCTACTAATTAACGGAAGCACTGGGGGTGCGATAGGGGGTGGGGCCGCTGAGGTCTAAGGGTTTCCAATCAGTCTGTGGTTTAGAATTCAAGGGCTCGGAGAGTCAATGTTCATCATTCTTTGGTAGATGACTTTTCATCTTTGTTAGGCTTTGAAATTTTAACATAAACTGAAAAGTAATCAAAATCTGTATTCAGCACTTGCCTTACATACAAGAAGTTCCTTCTGTAACCTGAGTTAAAGAGAATTGACTTGGTTTTCAAAAATGGCTCCATCCGTCAACATAGCTGAAATTCTACCATTACAAATGATGGCCTTTGGACCCTGGAAAATTGTTAGGCCTCGAAAGTCTAACAATTGATAATGCATACACTTCTAGGTCAATATCACCTTAAACTGGAGCCAGTGAACATTTTGGTGGTAGTCTAGGATGATTGGAATTGGGACCATAAAAAGTGGGAAAGAATAGGAGAAAGAGAATTCTTATTGACTCTGAACACATAAAGAAATAAAATATTTAAATTAAAATTGGTTCATACCTGTAATCTCAGCACTTTGGGAGGCCGACGTGGGTGGATCACTTGAGGTTAGGAGTTCCAGACCAGCCTGGCCAACATGGTGAAACCCTGTCTCTACTAAAAATACAAAAATTAGCCGGGCATGGTGGCACATGCCTGTAATCCCAGCTACTCAGGAGGCTGAGGCAGGAGAATCACTTGAACCCAGGAAGCAGAGGTTGCGGTGAGCAGAGATCATGCCACTGCACTCCAGCCTGGGGAACAGAGTAAGACTCTGTCTCAAAAAAAAAAAAATTAATTAATTAAAACAAAAAATAAAAATAAAAAAGAAAGAGTGGCTCTTTGGATGAATCTCATACAAACTCTGAGAAACTCCTGACTAGGCACAGTGGCTCATGCCTGTAATTCCAGCACTTTGGGAGGCCCAGGTAGGTGGATCACCTGAGCTCAGGAGTTCAAGACCAGCCTGGCCAACATGGTGAAACTCCGTCTCTACCAAAATTACAAAAATTAGCCAGGCGTGGGCAAGCGCCTATGGTCCTAGCTACTTCGGGGGCTGAGGCTGGAAGATCCCCTGAGCTAGGGAAGCAGAGGTTGCAGTGAGCCAAGATTGTGCTGTTGTACTCCAGCTTGGGCGGAAGAGTGAAACTGTCTCAAAAAAAAAATGCATGTTTATTCTACATGTTTTCTTTTTTTCAAGCAAGAGATCAGGTAATCTTTTCTGATATCAATATACAATAAGAGAACAGCAGATATATTTAGTATGATGTAATACATATTGAAATCAATTACAAATGTCAGTTTTATTTATTTATTTATTTATTTATTTATTTATTTTTATTTTTTATTTTATTTTATTTTTTTTTTTGAGACGGAGTTTTGCTCTTGTTACCCAGGCTGGAGTGCAATGGCGCCATCTCAGCTCACCGCAACCTCCGCCTTCCAGGTTCAAGCTATTCTCCTGCCTCAGCCTCCTGAGTAGCTGGGATTATAGGCATGTACCACCACGCCCAGCTAATTTTGTATTTTTAGTAGAGACAGGGGTTTCTTCATGTTGGTCAGGCTGGTCTCAAACTCCTGACCTCAGGTGATCCCCCCGCCTCGGCCTCCCAATGTGCTGGGGTTACAGGCCTGAGCCACCGCACCCGGCTACAACTGTCAGTTTTAAATATTAATGTCTATTGTACCAAATTTGGGATCTCAGGAGAAAGTATTCAACATAATTTAAAATGCCGAGGCTGGGCTTGGTGGCTCACGTATGCAATCCCATCATTTTGGGAGGCCAAGGTGGGCGGATCGCTTGAGTTCAGGAGTGCAAGACCAGCCTGGGCAACATGGTGAAACCCTGTCTTTACAAAAAATACAAAAATTAGCTGGGCATGGTGGCACGCGTGCCTGTGGTCCTAGCTACTTGGGAGGCTACGGCAGGAGAATCACTTGAGCCAGGGAGGCAGAAGTTGCCGTAAGCCAAGATGGCGCCACTGCACTCCAGCCTGGGTGGCAGGAGTGAAAGAAACCCTGTCTTAAAAACAAAACGAAACAAAAATATGAAATTATTATAGAAAAGGATATTTTCAGGATAGAAGTGTGTATTTGAGTCATGCAAGTTGTACTCAATTATGCTGAAGCTGTAAAAGACTCTGAAAATGATCTCCTATTGGACATTTATAGAAATAACTTCTTTGAGGAGTCACAGATAGCCTTTATTTTTCTCTCTCTATTCTCTCTTTCTCTCTTTCCTAGGTCAGTAAATTTTCTCTTTTTTTTTTCTTTTTTTGAAACGGAGTCTCGCTCAGTTGCCCAGGCTGGAGTGCAGTGGCACGATCTCGGCTCACTGCAAGCTCCACCTCCTGGGTTCACGCCATTCTCCTGCCTCAGCCTCCCAAGTAGCTGGGATTACAGGTGCCCGCCACCACGTCCGGCTAATTTTTTGTACTTTTAGTAGAGACGGGGTTTCACCGTGTTAGCCAGGATGGTCTTGATCTCCTGATCTCGTGATCCGCCTGCCTCGGCCTCCCAAAGTGCTGGGATTACAGGCGTGAGCCACTGCGCCCAGCAATTTTGTACCAAAGTTACTCCTAGGGTGGGCATGGTGGCTTATGAATGTAATCCTAGTACTTTGGGAGGCCAAGGCAGAAGGCTGGCTTGAAGATAGGAGTTTGAGACCAGCCTGGGCAACATAGTGAGACCCCATATCTACTTAAAAAACAAACAAAAAGCAAAGTTACTCCCAGTATGTATGCAAACCAAGTTGGCTTCTGAGTTGAGAATGTAAGATGGACTCCAGCATGAAGTTCTAAAAGACACACCCCAGAGGACCAAGGCAGCATACACCATTATGGCTTTCTGTTTTGGTGTGGCTCTGAGGAATCTGATGACCTTGGCAAGTTATCTTTGAATGTCTTGGTTCCCCATCCGATAACATGGAGATAACAATGCCTGCTATTCAAAAAGGATTCATAAGATGCCATTTATGAACTTTACTGAAGTCTTTGATAAGAGTATCTTTTTTTTTGTGAGATGGAGTCTCGCTCTTGTCGCCCAGGCAGGAGTGCAGTAGCCAATCTTGGCTCACTACAACGTCCGCCTCCCGGGTTCAAGCGATTCTCGTTACTCAGCCTCCCAAGTAGCTGGGATTACAGGCACCCGCGACCACGCCCAGCTGATATTTTTATTTTCAGTAGAGACGGGGTTTCCCCATGTTGGCCAGGCTGGTCTCGAACTCCCTACCTCAGGTGATCCATCCGCCTCAGCCTCCCAAAGTGCTGGGATTACAGGCGTGAACCACCATGCCCGGCCAATAAGAGCATCTTATAACTGCTATTGTTTCTGTTCTCATTAGCATTATTTTAGTTATACATCATGGCTTTAATTTGGCTTCAAAGGCTGTAGTCTGTAGCTATTTTATAAGAACTGAGTGTTTTTAATGTTACTCTGAGACAAGGTGAAGGGGAAGGAAATTTCCCCTAAAACCACGGTAACAATTATATTGTGGTAGATTGAAACTTTCTGTTGAGGCCAGGCACGGTGGCTCACACCTGTAATCCCAGCACTTTGGGAGGCCGAGGCAGGTGGATCACTTGAGGTCAAGAGTTTGAGACCAGCCTGGACAACATGGTGAAACCAATTCTCTAATAAAAATACAAAAACTAGCCAGTCATGGTGGTACACGCCTGTAGTCCCAGCTACCTGGGAGGCTGAGGCATGAGAATCGCTGGAACCCAGGAAGCAGAGGTTGCAGTGAGCCAAGATCTCACCAGTGCACTCCAGCCTGGGCAACAGAGCGAGACTCCATCTCAAAAAAAAAAAAAGTCACTTTTTAGCGCTGGTTTTACAGGGAAGCACAAGTTGCTAAACTGTGAAGGATTCTAGTAAGATATGTTGTAGACGTGGCAAATGAGCAATTCTTATTCAAGGAATTAAGGCTGCAACAATTTGAGCCATGTATGTTATGTGAAATCAGATTTTTTTTCAAAACAATTTATGGAATTTGTGTTCTTATTTATTTATTTATTTATTTATTTTTTGAGACGGGGTCTTGCTCTGTCACCCAGGCTGGAGTACAGTGGCGCGATCTTGGCTCACTACAACTTCTGCCTCCCGGGTTCAAGCAATTCTCCTGCCTCAGACTCCCGAGTAGTTGGGACTACAGGTGTGTGCCACCATGCTTGGCTAATTTTTGTATTTTTAGTAGAGATGGGGTTTCACTATGTTGGTCAGGCTGGTCTTGAACTCCTGACTTCGTGATCGGCGCCCCCACCCCCACCCCCACCCCTTGGCCTCCCAAAGCGATGGGATTACAGGCGTGAGCCACCACGCCCGGCCTGTGTTCTTATCGTTTGGGCTCTAAGGTGTGGTGATCACAAGTGCAAACAAATTTTCAACCGTGGATATGATTTTGATACTCTATCCAAGCCACCAAGTGTGTGCATTTTGCTGGGAGAATTGCACACTCTGCAGCAGCCCCTTGCACACTGATACCTGTGCACGGCTGTAATGGGAAACATTTGAGTCTGGTTGCAAAGATTTGCTTAGTGTGAAATCTGTTCCTAACACAATGGTCAGATGGAAAGGAGTTTCATTACATGGCTGGGCATTTCTTCTTTCTTTGGGGAATATAAAAGGTGAATGCAATACTTTCCAGTTTAAAGTTACCACAAAACGTCATAATCGTAACCTCAAAATCTACTCCAAAAATTATAGAGAACCAGAGGCCTTGAGCTGGCGGCAACTGCCTGTTTGATCTTGATTAAGTTCCAAAAAGCCAGTGAGAGTTCAAAGCAGGGCCAGGGGCGACTCCACACTTTAATCCCTGCTCCTCTTTCCCTTCCCTCTTCACTCCCGCTCTCCATCCTTTGCTATGAACTGCAGTATATATGCATTTCAATAACCCTGGACACTGTAGATTCTAGAACAATGAGGAAAGCGTCTCTCCTTATTGATACTGACAGGCCTTTCGGTCAGAAAATGTCCCTCAACAGATGTTAGAAAATGTGGTCATAAGCCAGAAAGATATGTGTTACAATTTTTAAGGCCTTTTTATTTCCAACTCTCTACATTCCATTGGATAAGGTGTAATTTTTCTCTTTCTTTCTTCAGAAATCCCTCTCGAGGGTTCAGGATACAGGAAAAGTAGTTATGCCTGAAGATAAGTTGCTGACTTCGCTTCTACTTCAGTCACCCCTTTCTGATCTTCCCAAGAAGAAATAAAGAATGAACATTAAGGACAATTATGAAGCAATACCCACAATAAAACAAGAATGAGATCATTTTATTATTCAAGGTACTATATTTGGAAATTGAATAATGCCTTTTTTTTTCCAGTCTAACCACTCTGGATGTTATTTCAATCCAATTATTTTGTTGGAAGAAGTTTTTAGATTATTTTAACTCTGGCTAATGAATACATCCCATTGATATTAAAAAGAACTGAGTTGGGCACTGACTTTGAGGGCCCAGAAGTGAATTATTGTCTTAGAACTGACTTCATCTGAAATTCACTTACTATCAAATGGGCAACCCAGCATAGAATTCACACTAAAATTCCTAATGATGACACAATCATTCTTTATAAATAAATAAACCTGGAGTTTTAACACTATACTATAATGTCTTCTTCTTTCCCAAGAAAATATATTTTCTATAACATGAACCAAGTAAGTATGACAAATAAACAATGGAAAAGAGGAGAA
The DNA here is from genome assembly GCF_000001405.40 of Homo sapiens. Taxonomy (NCBI): domain Eukaryota; kingdom Metazoa; phylum Chordata; class Mammalia; order Primates; family Hominidae; genus Homo; species Homo sapiens. The sequence goes on along the minus strand of NC_000006.12, from coordinate 15,160,609 downwards.
AAAAACAAATGCAAATAGTATGCTGACACAGGTGACAGTGATGACAGTTGTATGTGGCTTTGCTTCCGAGTCACCCAGAGCCCAAGTGAGTCCTCTACTTGCTGAAATAAGCATTCCCACCAGGCGTGGTGGCAAAGGCCTGTAATCCCAGCACTTTGGGAGGCCAAACAGGAAGGATTGCTTGAGTCCAAGAGTTCAAGACCAGCCTGGGCAACATAGTGAGACCTTGTCTCTACAAAACATAAACAAAAATGGCTGGGCACACTGGCTCACGCCTGCCTGTAATCCCAGCACTTTGGGAGACTGAGGTGGGCAGATCATCTGAGGTCAGGAGTTCGAGACCAGCCTGGCCAACATGGTGAAACCCCTGTCTCTACTAATAATACAAAAAAAAAAAAAAATTACCCGGGTGTGGTGGCATTTGCCTGTAGTCCCAGCTATTCGAGAGGCTGAGGCAGGAGAATTGCTTGAACCTGGGAGGTGGTGGTTGCAGTGAGCCGAGATCGCGCCACTGCACTCCAGCCTTGGTGACAGAGTGACTCCGTTTCAAAACAAAACAAAGCAAACCAACAACAAAAAAGAATGCATGGTTAGAGTGGGGAGGCCTGATAACATGACTGCAAGTGAAATTTGAGTGTTATGGCAGATAGTATGTATCTCATCTCACATATTCTTTTTATAATGTGACACTGACCTTCCTCCACTGAGACAGGTTGTTCCCTAACTTTGACCTTGGGAAAATCTTTATAACTGCCTCAGCAAATACAATGTGATGGAAATGATGAGATTTGATCTCTGAGGCTTGTCATGAAAGTCCATATAGTTTTTGGCTGACCCCCCTTTCCCCGCTCAGGGATGCTCACCTTTGGAACACAGACACCATGTTTGAGAAAGCCCAGGTCCACGTGGAAAAACCACTTGTAGGTGTTCCAATCCATAGCCTTAGCTAAGAAGGGTTGCCTGGGTAGATGGAGGATGGAACAAAGGTGAAGAAATGAAGTCAATATGCTTCTACTCAGGAATTAACCTACTCCATGAAGAGTACTGCATTTCCATATATATCAGGCACTGTTCTAGAAGCTGGGCCAGATGTGGTGGTGTGCACCTATAGTCCCAGCTACTCTGGAGGCTGAGGCAGGAGAATCGGTTGAGCCCAGGTGATAGAGGCTACAGTGAGCTATGATTGTGCCACTGCACTCCGGCCTGAGTGACAGAGCAAGACTCCATTTCCTTTTTTTTTTTTTTTTTTTGAGGCAAGGTCTGGCTCTAGCACCCAGGCTGGAGTGCAGTGGTGCTATCTCTGCTCACTACAACCTTGTACCCCCCAGCTCCCCACACCTGACTAATTTTTGTTTTTGTTTTTGCTTTTTTTTGAGATAGAGTTTCACTCTTAGTGAAATAGTCAGTGGGATGTCAGCTCACTGCAAACTCTGCCTCCCAGGTTCAAGCGATTCTCCCGCCGCAGGCTCCTGAGTAGCTGGGATTACAGGTGCCTGCCACCACTCCTGGCTCATTTTTGTATTTTTAGTAGAGATGGGGTTTCGCCATATTGGCTAGGCTGGTCTTGAACTCTTGACCTCAAATGATCCGCCCGCCTCAGCCTCCCAAAGTAATGGGATTACAGGCATGAGCCACTGTGCCTGGCCTGACACGTGTTGATCCTTAATAAACATCTTATACCCCAGACTTTATCTTAGCACCTGCTTCTGGAGAACCCACATGCAACAGAGCATTCTCTTGCCTTTGGTCGATTTGTATGTTTTTTGTTTGTTTGTTTGTTTGTTTTTTATTTTTTGTTTTGTTTTTGGGGGCAGGGTCTTGCTCTGTCACCCAGGCTGGAGTGCAGTGGTGTCATCATGGCTCATTACAGCCTCAACCTCCTGGGGCTCATGCAATCGTCCCCCCTCAGCCTCTGGGTAGCTGAGACTATAGGCGCATGCCACCACGACTGGCTGATTTTTTTTTGTTTGTATTTTTTTTAGAGATGGGGTTTTGTCATGTTGCTCAGGCTGATTTTTAACTCCTGAGCTCAAGCCATCCACCCATCTCGACCTCCCAAAGTGCTGGGATTACAGGCATGAGCCACCATACCTGGCAATTTGTAGGGTTCTTTATCATTGATTACTTAACTATTCACCAAGTTAACTTACAATGTTTATTTTGTTAAGGCTTTAAAATATTCCATTTTGGGCCAGGCACCGTGGCTTATGCCTGTAATCCCAGCACTTTGGGAGGCCGAGGTGAGTGGATCATCTGAGGTCAGGAGTTAATCAGTCTGGCCAATTGAAACCCTGTCTCTACTAAAAAATACAAAAATTAGCCAGGCATGGTGTTGCATGCCTGTAATCCCAGCTACTCAGGAGGCTGAGGCAGGAGAATTGCCTCCATCTGGGAGGTGGAGGTTGCAGTGAGCCACGATCGTGCCACTGTGCTCTAGCCTGGGTGACAGAGCGAGACTCTCTCAATATATATATATTCCATTCTGATTATGATTCAGGAGAAAAGTGACTATTCTTAATGAAGATCAGGCTGAATATCATTGGAGTGCTCATTTGGAAAGGTTGGTAATACCTTTCTCATTGCTGCTAGTAATATATATTTGGCTGAAATAAGACTTATTTTTCTGAAATTACTGCATCAACTGGTCATATACAGATTGCTGATTTTCTATTTTCTCAGCCACCATTCTGCTTTCTTTCTTTTTTTAGTGAAATTATTTATTTATTTTTTATTTTTGTAGAGATGGGGGTCTCACTATGTTGTCCAGGATGGCCTTGAACTCCTGGCCTTAAGTGATCTTCTTGCCTTCGCCTCCCAAAGTGCTTGGATTACATCTGCTGTTTTCTGATAATTTGATATGAATCATCAAATGCCCTGAAAAGAAAAACTGCAGCCAGGCATGGTGGTTCATGGTTGTAATAATACCAGCACTTTGGGAGGCCAAGGTGGGAGGTTCACTTGAGACCAGCCTGGGCAACATAGTGAGACCCTGTCTCTACAAAAAAATTAAAAAATTAGCTGGATGTGGTGGCGTGTACCTGTAGTTCTACTACTCTGGGGCATAGGTGGGAGGATCCCCTGAGCTATAGAGATCAAGGCTGCAGTGAGCCATGATTGCACCACTGCACTCCAGTCTGGGCAGCACAAGAGAGACCCTGTCTCCCCTACCTCCCCACAACCTGCCCCCCTCCCCAAAAGAAAAGAAAAACTGCTACAGATGACTAATATCAGGCTCACACCTAAGATTCCCTTCTCTATGGAATCTTGCCCCTTCAGGTCCTGGATGCCTTGGTACCACTCTGATGACACCCAACAAACGGTTTCCCCCATCTCCATTTTGTTCATATATTCCTGGAGAGACTGTGTTGGTCTGTTACAAATTAATCTGCCATGGCTGGAGGCAGAGTTGTCAAGGGTTCCCTTCCCCTCAATTCATTAATTTTAACCAATAGAGGTGATTTCAAAGAGTAGATGTTATCTTTCAGTAAAGAAGAAGAGGAACTCAGATTAAAAGGTTAGTAGAAAAAAAAGTTAGCTGTTTTTGATAGGACTGAGCAGGTTCTGGAGACGTATGCATTGCTTTTTCAATTGCAATTGTGTTTCTTAGATTCATCCTTAATTTAAAAAAACATGACTTTTACTTATGCACAAACACATTCAAATCTTAGTTCTTCATGTTATTAGTTTTTGTTTCCATTTGTCAGTTTTTTTAATCTCATTACTTTAGTTACAACCTAATGAAAGAAAAGTCATCATAAATCAAATTTTCAAGAATTTAGGAACTCATTCCTTTATTCGTAAAAAATATTTAAATTTCTAGTTAACTCTCAATTATTTACAGTAACAAGTAGGACACCTTTCTTTTCATAATTTAAATCAATGAATATTTAAAATTATCTTTGGCTTTGGACACAGGTTATAAATTGCTCGTTAAAGATTTATCTTCCTGATTATATTTTACTGAAACAAATATATTGACTTTTAAATTTACCTGTCTTGGCCAAACTATATTTCCTTTTTAGTCTTGTTTTGTTTTGTTTTTAGAGATGAGGTCTTGAGGCTGGGTGCAGTGGCTCATGCTTGTAATCCCAGCACTTTGGGAGGCTGAAGCGGGCAGATCACCTGAGGTCAGGAGTTTGAGACCAGCCTGACCAACATGGTGAAACCCCGTCTCTACTAAAAATACAAAATTAGCTGGGCGTGGTGGCGCAAGCCTGTAATCCCAGCTACTCGGGGGGCTGAGGCAGGAGAATCACTTGAACCCAGGAGGCAGAGGTTGCAGTGAGCCAAGATCTCTCCATTGCACTTCAATCTGGGCAACTAGAGTGAAACCCTCTCTCAAAAACAAAAACAACAACAACAACAACAACACCAACAACAAAAACTAGAGATGAGGTCTCACTTTGTCACCTACGTTGGAGTGCAGTGATGCAATCATAGCTCACTGCAGCCTCAAACTCCTGGGCTCAAGGAATCCTCCCACCTTAGCCTCCCAAAGTGCTGGGGTTATATATATGTGAGACATTGTGCTCAATGTAACTTTTCCTTTCTACTGTGTGTGTCAGAGTTTACATGTGCTTTTAAGATTGTATACATTCTTCATCACTGTCTTAGTCCATTTAGTGCTCCTGTAACACAATACCATAGACTGGGTGATCTATAATAAACAGAAATATGGGCCAGGCGCGGTGGCTCATGCCTGTAATCCCAGCACTTTGGGAGGGCAGGTGGATCACTTGAGGCCAGGAGTTCAAGACCAGCCTGGCCAACATGGTGAAACCCTGTCTCTACTAAAAATACAAAAATTGGCCAAGCATAGTGGCATGTGCCTGTAGTCCCAGCTACTCAGGAGCCTGTGGCATGAGAATCGCTTGAACCCAGGAGGCAGAGGCTGCAGTGAGATTGCGCTACTGCACTCCAGCCTGGGTAACAGAGCAAGACTTTATCTAAACAAACAAACAAACAAAAAAAAAAACAACGAAATTTATTGGCTCACAGTTCTGGAGACTGGGAAGTCCAAGATCGTGAGGCTGGCACCTCATGAGACCCTTCTTGCTGTGTCATCCCACGGTGGAGGGCAGAGGAGCAAATGAGGAGGAGAGAGCAAAAGGAGGCTGAATTCATCATTTTATAAGAAACCTACTCCCTTAGCCAGCACAGTGGCTCACACCTGTAATCCCAGCACTTTGGGAGGCCGAGGCATGAGGATCACTTGAGGTCAGGAGTCTGAGCGCCTGGGCAACATAGCAAAACCTCTTTTCTGCTGAAAATACAAAAATTAGCCAGGCAAGGTAACACATGCCTGTAATTCCAGCTATTTGGGAGGCTGAGGCAGGAGGATCACTGGAGCCCAGGAAGTGGAGGTTGCAGTGAGCAGATATCACACCACTGTACTCCAGCCTGGGCAACAGAGCGAGACCCTGTCTCAAAAAAGAAACCTATCCCATTCCCAAGATAACAGTGTTAATCCATTCATGAGGGTGGAGGCTTCATGGCCCAATCACTTCTAAAAGGTCTTACGTTTTAACACTGTTGTAGAGGGGATTAACTTTCCAACACATGAATGGGGGACACATTCAAACTATAGTAATCAGTCATGTGGCATTCCATGGTCGTATGTAAGACACCCCACAATAATTAATTATAGTGATTTGGAGGCCTCTATAAAAATGATCTTTCAACTGTGCATACAGTTAACCTTTCTTTTCCTCCTCTGTATCTTTTTTTTTTTTTTTTTGAGGTGGAGTCTTGCTCTGTCACCCAGCCTGGAGTGCAGTGGTGTGATCTTGGCTCACTGCAACCTCCACCTCCTGGGTTCAAGTGATTCTCCTGCCTCAGGTTCCCGAGTAGCTGGGACTACAGGCACGTGCCACTACACCCAGCTAATTTTTGTATTTTTAGTAGAGACGGTATTTCGCCATGTTGGCCAGGATGATCTCGATCTCTTGACCTTGTGATCTGCCTACCTCAGCCTTCCAAAGTTTAGGGATTACAGGCATGAGCCACTGCACCCGGCCAGTCTATCTTAATAATAACAACAATATGTGCCTCCATTGCGCTTTGTATTCAAGGAATTTCAGAGACTTTAGAGTCAGCAAAAAACCCCAAATAGCTGGTCAGGAACACCACTATCAAGATGAAGAAAACAGAGATAGCCAGATGTGGAGGCTCACACCTGTAACCCCAGCACTTTGGGAGGCCGAGGAGGGAGAATTGCTTGAAGCAAGGAGTTTGAGGCCTGCCTGGGCAGCAAAGCAATACTCCCTCTCTAAAAAAAAAAAAAATATATATATACACACACACACACACACACACACACACACACACACACACACACCACACGCCTGTTTGTGTAGATTATAATAGGATACAGATCTATTGACAAATGCTGCTAGAAAAATAATCTTCCCCTAGCAGCCTGCTGGGATTCAGTACCTCAAAGAAGGCATTGAAACTTTGCTCAGTAGAGCAAAAGGTATTTCACTAGGAATTTCTTTCTTTTTCTTTTTTTTTTGGAGATGGAGTCTCGCTCTGTAGCCAGGCTGGAGTGCAGTGGCTCTATCTAGGCTCACTGCAACTTCTGCCTCCCGGGTTCAAGTGATTCTCCTCCCTCAGCCTCCCAAGTAGCTGGGACTACAGGTGCCCACCACTATGCCCGGCTAATTTTTTTTTTTAAGTTTTAGTAGAGATGGGGTTTCATCATGTTGCCCAGGCTGGTCTCGAACTCCTGAGCTCAGGCAATCCTCCTGCCTCGGCCTCCCAAAGTGCTAGGATTACAGGCGTGAGTCACCGTGCCCTGTCTTCACTAGGAATTTCTTTTAAGGAGACTCTCATACTGTCGCTGTGACATGAGAAAACAAGATAGCCTTACTCAACTGGGTAAGACATGAGAAAATAAGATAGCCTTCCTTACTTCATCAAACAAGATAGCCTTACTCAGCTGGGCCTGCTTCTTGCCAAGATCTCTCTATATTTTTAATTCTCAAGGCAGTCACTATGACTTACTGACTTATGCTCAATGTACATCCAGTTAGTTTTGTTCATTCATGTAGGGATTACTTTCAGACCTCACTTGTGTAGGTAGTATCCAGTTACCAGTGCTCCACTGTATACGGCATACGAGGTCCTCCTTGTTGAGATTCCCATGTCACTATTCAAGGGATTCTCCTGCCTCAGCCTCCTGAGTAGCTGGGATTAAAGGCATGTGCCAACCCGCCCGGCTAATTTTGTGTTTTTAGTAGAGACAGGGTTTCTCCATGTTGGTCAGGCTGGTCTGGAATTCCTGACCTCAGGTGATCTGCCCTACTCAGCCTCCTAAAGTGCTGGGATTACGGGTGTGAGCCACCGCGTCTGGCATATCATCTAATTTTTCTTTGAAATTTAGTGAATTTTGCTTGGGGTCTTTCACATACACAGCCTCACCTCTTATATCTGTTTGACCTTGCCATTCCTTACAGAGACAAAATGAATAAAGAGGACATTGGAGGAGAAAACATTTTTGTTTTTTATTCCTCATGACTATGAGCCACAAAGATCTTTGGGAAACTCCTACAGGAATCTATACTTCAGAGAAAGGAGGGCAGAGGGAAGTTGCTGAAATATATCTGATTGTGTAGCTGGCCAGGGAAGAGAGAGACTTTGGTCATAAGGAACAGATGGTGATGATGGGATAAGAGGTCTGAGGCCAATCTTGGGACCAGCAGAAGAAAATAAAGTCTTCTGGAAAACCATCTGTGCTAGGAGCTCTCTCACGCATGGTTTAATTGAGTGTTTCCAAATGTCTTCCTTGGAACTCTAGTCCCAGGAGATGTCTCGTAAGAAGAGGAATCTGAGTTTAAATATGTTTGGGAGATGCTACATATCACATTATTGTCTTGAAGAAGTCCTACAATAAGAAATCCATTTAGATTCTGGGCGCGGTGGCTCACGCCTGTAATCCCAGTACTTTGGGAGCCTGAGGTGAGCGGATCATGAGGTCAGGAGTTCGAGACCAGCCTGACCAACATGGTGAAACCCTGTCTCTATTAAAAATACAAAAATTAGCCGGCTGTGGTGGTGCATGTCTGTAATCCCAGCTACTCAGGAGGCTGAGGCAGGAGAATCACCTGAACCTGGGAGGCGGAGGTTGCAGTGAGCCGAGATCGCACCACTGTACTCTAGCCTGGGCGACAGAGTGAGACTCTGCCTCATAAAAAAAAAAAAAGAAAAATTCATTTAGTGTTTCTCCTTCATCTCATTAGCAGGATTGCCATGTCCAAGGAGATGTGCATTTAAAATGTTGGAAGATATTGCAAATTTGCATATATTTCTATGTCAACCGATGATGTATGAGACCTCCTTGTGACCTAGCATTTCCTTTTTTTTTGAGACAGAGTTTCGCTCTTGTTGCCCAGGCTGGAGTGCAATGGCGTGATCTCGGCTCACTGCAACCTCTGCCTCCTGGGTTCAAGCAATTCTTCTGCCTCAACCTCCCAAGTAGCTGGGATTACGGACATGTGCCACCATGTCCAGCTAGTTTTGTATTTTTAGTAGAGATGGGGTTTCTCCATGTTGGTCAGGCTGGTCTCAAACTCCTGACCTCAAGTGATCCCCCCACCTCGGCCTCCCAAAGTGCTCTGATTACAGGTGTGAGCCACCGCGCCCGGCCCCCCTTTTTATTTTTTGAGACGAAGTCTTGCTCTTTTGCCCAGGCTGGAGTGCAGTGGAATGATCTCGGCTTACTGCAACTTCTGCCTCCTGGGTTCAATCGATTCTCCTGACTTATCCTCCTAAATAGCTGGGATTACAGGCAACTGCCACCATGCCTGGCTAATGTTTTTGTATTTTTAGTAGAGACGGGGTTTCGCCATGTTGGCCAGGCTGGTCTCAAACTCCTAACCTCAGGTGATCCACCTGCCTTGGCCTCCCAAAGTGCTGGGATTACAAGAGTGAGCTGCTGCGCCCGGCCAGCATTTCCCATTTTTATTTGAGTGTGGAAACTTCCTTTTTGGTAATTCCTATTAATAGCCCATACAGCTGATGTTCCAGAAAATAGTTTGGGAATAGGGTCTATCTTATTTTGAATTTTTCAAAATTTTTAATATTTTTGATACTGGTCTATTTTTAGTCTTCTACAATCTGTGTACAGTGTGCGTTACTATCCTCTTTCTATAAATGAAGAACTGAAACTCAGAAAGAAACCTGACCACTTCTTATGAGGTACACTGTCTCTTAACGCCTAACCTACTGAACCCTGCCCTAGGGCACAGATGACAGCTGAGGCTGTACTTGCTGCAACAATCCACTTCTACTGCTAGGGGTTGAAACTCTAGATCCCTTTCCTCTGCAAGCATCGTGCAGTACACTATTGTTCGGTTTCTATGGTCTTTTTAGCACAGTTGTCTATTTTCAGTGCATTGCCGGTTATTAGCTACTGTGGCTTTTCTCTGTAATTCTATCTGCCATATATTGGAGCCTTTTTTTGTTTTAATTTTTTATTAAAATAGAGATGGGATCTCACTATGTTGCCCAGGCTGGTCTCAAACTCCTGGGCTCAAGTGATCCTCCTGCCTTTGGAGGCCGAGGTGGGCAGATCACGAGGTCAAGAGATAGAGGCCATCCTGGCCAACGTGGTGAAACCCCATCTCTACTAAAAATACAAAAATTAGCTGGGCGTGGTGGTGCATGCCTGTAGTCCCAGCTACTCGGGAGGCTGAGGTAGGAGAATCACTTGAACCTGGGAGGTGGAGCTTGCAGTGAGCTGAGTTCACGCCACTGTACTCCAGCCTGGCGTCAGTGCAAGACCCCATCTCAAAAAGAAAAAAAAAAAAGGAGAGATATACTTCTTCTTTTTCCTTTAATTATTTTTAATTTTTTTTTAAAAGAGACAGGGTCTCACTATGTTGCCTGGGCTGGTCTTGAACTCCTGAGTTCAAGGGATCCTCCTGCCTCAGGCTTCCAAAGTGCTGGAATTACAGGCATGAGCCACCATGCCCGGCCAAGATACACTTCTTAGAAGGTATTGTCATCTTTATTTAAGGCTCGGAGAGGTTGTTGCTTACCCAAGGTTACATAGAACCAAGATTCACACAGTTTTGTTGGACTTCTTCAAAGGATACTGCCTTTTTTGGAAACATGTTTTGAGCTCCAGGCAACAACCAATGTTTGGAACCCACCTTATTGCATAATTTGGGACTACCCTAATCTTAAACCTCATTGACAATGATTGGCTGCTTTTGACTCTAGAAATGACTCTCCTGTGTCTCCTGAGTCCTATTTGCCTATCCATTGGTTAAGATCTGCTTTGGTCTAAACAGAGTTAAGGCCAGGCATGGTGGCTCATGCCTATAATCCCAGGGCTTTGGGAAGCCAAGGCGGAAGGATCATTTGAGCTCAGGAGTTCAAGACCAGCCTGGGCAACATTGCCAAATCTGGCCTCTATAAAGAAAAAAACAAAAAACAAAAAACTGGGCGTGAGGAGTACCTGTAGTTCAAGTTACTCAGGAGGCTGAGGCAGGAGGATCCCTTGAGTTCAGGAGCCTGAAGCTGCAGCGAGCTTTGATTGCACTACTGCACTCCAGCCTGGAAAACATGGTAAGACCCCGTCTCAATAAAATAAAATAAAATAATAAAATAAAATAAAATAAAAATAGCCAGGCGCAGTGGCTCACGCCTGTAATCCCAGCACTTTGGGAGGCCAAGGTGGGCAGATCATAAGGTCAGGAGTTCAAGACCAGCCTGGCCAATATGGAGAAACCCTGTCTCCACTAAAAATACAAAAAATTAGCCTGGTGTGGTGGCACATGCCTGTAATCCCAGCTACTCGGGAGGCTGAGGCAGGAGAATTGCTTGAACCCAGGAAGTGGAGGTTGCAGTGAGCTGAGATCGTGCCACTGCACTCCAGCCTGGGTGACAGAGTGAGACTCCATCTCAAAGAACAACAAGAACAACAACAACAAACAACAGCAACAACAGCAGAGTTAGCTATGATATGATGCGTTCTTATCCCCTACCCCTCATGATCTCCCGAATCTTTCCCCCTCTTTCCTCCTGTCCCTCTGTCCTTCTCTTTCCTTCATTTTTTATAAGACTGGCAAGGTTCTGTCTTCTCTCACGATATAACATCTTCATCTTCTGCCCAGTTGGGCATCAAACAAATGATTTTATGAAAGAAATCAAGACGAGACTGGGTTTGGTGGCTCATGCCTGGAATCCCAGCACTTTGGGAGGCTGAGGTGGGCGGATCACCTGAGGTCAGGAGTTCGAGACCAGCCTGGCCAACATGGGAAAAGCTGGTCTCTACTAAAAATATAAAAATTAGCTGAGCATGGTGGCGCATGCTTGTAATCCCAGCTACTTGAGAGGCTGAGGCACAAGAATTGCTTGAACCCAGGAGGCAGAGGTTGCAAGACAGGAGGCAAAGTCGGTGATTCTCAGTCATTTTCCCTGCAGCCCACTTCCCCCACTTCTGCCCTCATTCAGCCCATACCCCAATTTTTCCTACCTCTTCCCTCACCTTCTTACTTCCTGCCTCTCCCCAGCTAGGGAGGTTTTCCCATAGCTGGAGATTTTCCCTAAAGGGACGAAGCCTAGGGAAGGAGGATAAAGGCATAGAATAGACCCAGTGTGGAAGAGGCGTGAGGGTGAGGGGCACTTGGGCAAGGTGCATGGATGGAAATGAAGGAGAGGAAAGGTCTTCCCATCTACACAGGGCTGAGGATGCACAGCTTCAGAGTGACCACAAGGACGCTGAGGAAAGAGCAGTGGGGATGGAATGAGACAGACATGGAAGGCAGGAGGGGGCCTGCAGAGAGGCAGAGTCACAGAGCGCACGACACAAGGCTGAGGCAGGTGACAACACAGACATTCTGGAGAACAGAAGGGCATTCAGGGAGGAGAGCCAAGGCCACATAGGGTTGACTTTTTTTTTTTAAAGGATTAAGAATGAATCACTGTTTTCATAAGCATCAGTGCACATGCCATATGTTAGGTGTTGCCGGAGTAGAAAACCCCAGAACACGACTTAGAACAGGCCCAACAGCCTCATGCTCTGCCCTGACGGGGCCCTGTGGGAGAGCTCCTGGGCTTAGCTTTCCCCAGAGATGAGGTAATGCTCCTCAGGCATCTCTGGGGACGTGATCTTCACCCCCTCCCTCCTCTAAAGTGAAATCCAAACCAATATAAACCCTGTAAACCTTCCTTGACGGCTCCAAGGTTAGAAGAGAAGTGGAAGTTAGCCACATCATTAATAACAGATCCCCTGGTGAAGGCTCAGTAAACACTCGGAAATTAATAACAGAGAAAAGAGGAGCAGGATAGTAATTTGGATCATAGACTCCTTTGAAAATCTGAAGAAAGCTATAGACTCTCTCCCCAGAAAAAAGCACATGTACATATACACACCAGCTTCAATAAGATAGTGTCTGGATGTTTGTTAAAATCCTGAGGCCAAGGCCAAGGGTTGAGGGGCCATGGACCCCTGAATAAGAAGCCCTGACTTAGAGTATATGAAATAGTTTTGCATCTGTGATCTGTTTTGTCCAGCCAAGGCCCTGGAGATAGGGCAGATGCTGCCTGCGTGGGACAGGCAAAGAGACCTGGGCACAGAGGAGGACTGACTTGCTCCCTGCCTGTGCGAGGAGGTAGCGTGGAGCTAAATTTAGAACGCCTACCTCCATGGCCAGTCTTGTCTTATCACTCACTGTAAATTTGGAACCTGCTGTTAGACAAACTTTTCATTTTTTCTTACATTTTTAGGTAGTTAATTGGGGTTTTTAGAAAAGGGGAGAAATTAAAGGCCGGGAGTGACAGCTCACACCTGTAATCCCAGCACTTGGGGAGGCCGAGGAGGAAGGATCGCTCGAGCCCAGGAGTTTGAGACCAGCCTTGGCAATATAGTGAGACCCAGTCTCTATAAAAAAAAATAACAATAATAAAATAAAATAAAATAATAATGGCTCGGCGCAGTGGCTCACGCCTGTAATCCCAGCACTTTGGGAGGCTGAGGTGGGCGGATTACCTGAGGTCAGGAGTTCGAGATCAGCCTGGGCAACACGGTGAAACCCCATCTTTACTAAAAATACAAAATCAGCCGGGCGTGGTGACACATGCCTGTAATCCCAGCTACTCAGGAGGCTGAGGCAGGAGAATCGCTTGAACCTGGGAGGCAGAGGATGCGGTGAGCCAACATTGCGCCATTGCACTCCAGCCTGGGCAACGAGTAAATCTCCGTCCCGCCAAAAAAAAAGAAAAAAAAAAAATAATAAAAATTAACTAGGCATGGTGGTGTGTGCCTGTAGTCCCAGCTACTTGGGAGGCTGAGATGGGAGGATAGCTTGAGCCCAGGAGTTTGAGGCTGCAGTGAGCTGTGATGGTGCCACTGCACTCCAGTTTGGGCGACAGAGCAAGACCCTGTCTCAAAAACGAAACAAAACAAACAAAAAAAAAGGAAAGAAAAGAGGAGAAAAGACTATATTTTCAGGGCTTCAGGGATCATTTCTACAGTTTCTTACTAGACAAGTTTTTCTGAACGTGTAGAGCACTAAAATCAGGCCTGGTGTGGTGGTTCACGCCTGTAATCCCAGCACTTTGGGAGGCCGAGGTGGGTGGATCACCTGAGGTCAGGAGTTTGAGACCAGCCTGGCCAACATGGTGAAACCCTGTCTCTACTAAAAATACAAGAATTAGCTGGGCATGGTGGCGCTTGCCTGTAATCTCAGCTACTTGAGAGGCTGAGGCAGAGGAATCACTTGAACCCAGGAGGCAGAGGAGGCAGTGAGCCGAGATCGAGCCGTTGCACTACTGCCTGGGCAACAATAGCGAAACTCCGTCTCAAAAAAAAAAAAAAATAGGACTCCATCCAGTCATCACTGGAAGTGAGCTGACTGGAGCTAAACTTCAGAACTGTGTGAGCTGAGCGGTTACAAGACATTAGGAAGCTAAAAAAACTGGTGGATGAAGTTGTTAAGAGTATGAAACCCAAATCAACAGCCACCATGTTTTCAAAACAGATTTGTAAAAATTGCATTTGTTACACTGTACAGAAACTTTTTTTTTTTTTTTTTTGAGATGGTGTTTTGCTCTTGTTGCCTAGGCTGGAGTGCAGTGGTGTGATCTCAGCTCACTGCAATCTCCACCTCCTGGGTTCAAGCGATATTCCTGCCTCAGCCTCCTGAATAGCTGGGACTACAGGTGCCCACCACCGCACCCGGCTATTTTTTTTTTTTTTTTGAGATGGAGTTTGCTCTTGTTACCCAGGCTGGAGTGCAATGGTACTATCTTGGCTCACTGCAACGTCTGCCTCCTAGGTCCAAGCGATTGTCCTACCTCAGCCTCCCGAGTAGCTGGGATTACAGGCATGCGCCACCACACCTGGCTAATTTTGTATTTTTAGTAGAGATGGGGTTTCACCATGTTGATCAGGCTGGTCTCAAACTCCCAACCTCAGGTGATCCACCCACCTCTGCCTCCCAAAGTGCTGGGATTACAGGCATGAGCCCCCAAGCCTGACCAGAGGCTTTTTAAATTAAATAAATATCAAACTACATTCTTAAAAAGGAAAAAAGTGGGGGAGAAATTAGATTGTGCTTCCTCTTTACCCTTTTGTGACATCACCAGCACATTCTCACAGCTTCTTCTTCCTTCTACACTCAAAATACAAGATGAGGAGAAATCTGCTGGGTTTGAGATCCAGTAAGAAAGAAAGTGCCTCTTAATAGAAGGTAATAGGAATAACAGCCATCCATATTACAACTGCTGCTTCTTTCCCATTGTCAGAAAAATGGGGTCCATTTATGACTGGATGACAAATCCTACAGGGCTGAGAGTTAATAGAAACCCTGCAATGCAGTTAGGACGTGCTGACTTTTTGTGCAGTCTTTTAACGGGCGCAAGGACCAGGCAACCTTCCAGCCACTTAACAGTCTGAAAACTCTTCTTGCCTAGTAGGTCCTCTGTTTCCTTTAGTGTTTAATAATGGAATAATGTGTGCTCATAACAGGTAAGTCATGGAAAATGAGCGTGATACTGCATTAGAGGTTATACTTCATGAGGAGATGAACTGGTGTGAGCTTACGTTTTGTTTTGTTGGGATTTTATTTTGTTGGGACTTTTTTTTTTTTTTTCACCGTGTTAGCCAGGATGGTCTCCATCTCCTGACCTCATGATCCGCCTGCCTCGGCCTCCCAAAGCGCTGGGATTACAGGCTTGAGCCACCGTGCCCGGCCACAAGATGGGTTTTCATTCAGCAAGCACATAGGTGTTTGCTGTATGATGAATGGGGCGTAATTTAAAATTTAGTGGGATGTCTTATAAATGACGTGGCTTTTTCTGGAACCTATAGAACATAGAAATGACAAAGAGCATACAGTGCCAATGTTCACTGAATGAGCATTTATTGAGCACATATTATGTTCTGGACAATGAAGAAACATAATCTCTCTCTACTGTTGAACAACTCAGTCCTACAGGAGAAATATATTTAAATATATATATAGTTTGCTTGTTTTGTTTTGTTTTTTGACACAAAGCCTCGCTCTGTTGCCCAGGCTGGAGTGCAGTGGCACTATCACGGCTCACTGTAGCCTCCCAGGCTCAAGTGATCCTTCTGCCTCAGGCTCCTGACTAGCTGGGACTGTCAGCATGCGCCACTATGCCTGGCTAATTTTCATAATTATTATTTTTTTGTAGAGACAGGGTCTTATAATGTTGCCCAGAGTGGTCTCCAACTCCTGGGCTCAAGCAATCCTCCCTCCTCAGCCTCCCAAAGTTCTGGGAGTATAGGTGTGAGCCTGAGGTGGGAGGATCATTTGAACCTGGGAGGCTTCCATGAGTCATGATTGTGCAACTGCACTCCAGCCTGGGCAACAGAGGAAGACCTTGTTGCTCAAAAATATATATTTTGAGACAGGGTCTCACACTGCTTTCTAGGCTAGAGGTAGTGGTGTGACCACGGCTCATTGCAGCCTCCAACTCCAGGGCTCAATCAATCCTCCCACCTCAGCCTCCTGAGTAGCTGGGAGTACAGGTGCATGCCACCATACTGGCTAATTTTTTCTTTCTTTCTTCCTCTCTTTCTTTCTTTTTCTTTCTTTTCTTTCTTTCTCTTTCTTTCTTTCTCTTTCTTTTTCTTTCTTTTCTTCCTTTCTTCCTTTCTTCCTTTCTCTTTCCTTCTTTGTTTGTTTCTTTCTTTCTTCCTTCCTTCCTTCCTTCCTTCCTTCCTTCCTTCCTTCCTTCCTTTCTTTCTTTCTTTCTTTCTTTCTTTCTTTCTTTCTTTCTTTCTTTTCTTTTTTCCTCTCTTCCTTTCTTTCTTTCAAAAGAGTCTCACTCCATTGCCAGGCTGGAGTGGAGTGGCGTGATCTTGGCTCGCTGCAACCTCGTCTCCCAGGTTCAAGTGATTCTCCTGCCTCAGCTTCCCGAGTAGCTGGGACTACAGGCGCACACCACCATGCCCAGCTAATTTTTTGTATTTTTAGTAGAGCCTGGGTTTCACCATGTTGGCCAGGATGGTCTCGATCTCTTGACCTCGTGATCTGCACGCTTCAGCCTTCCAAAGTGCTGGGATTACAGGCGTAAGCCACCGCGCCTGGCTCATACTGGCTAATTTTTTAATTTTATGTAGAGATGGGGGCTCACTATGTAGCCCAAGCTCCAGTCCATATTAACAACTATGGTAATTACAATTCGAGGTAATTAGGAATGCTTAGGTAGAGTCCAGGTAAGCAAGCCATTCTCTTCGTTAAGTGCTAAAATGGGTGCTCTGATGATTTCCATGTAGGAACTGAAATAATGTAGAATTCATGGAGAGAAGATGGGGAAGGATATTGTAAGGAGAAGGAATAGCATGAGCCAAGCTTCGGAGGTGTGACCATGTGTGACCTCTTTAGGTGATGATGGGTAATGTACAGTCTTGCTTCTCAAAGCATAGTCCCTAGACAAGCAGCAATCTCATCACCTTGAGATTTTGTTAGGAGGCAGATCCTGATTTAGTAGGTCTGGGGAGGGACCCAAGATTCTGCATTCCTCACAAGTTCCTGGATGAATGTTGACACTGACAGTTCATGGACCACAGTCATTCCCGCCATTCTAGGAGCATGCAGCCAATCCGATAAGCAATGTCTGTAGGGTAAGTCCACCCAAGTGCTGTTTTTACCTTTGGAATTCTCTCCCCTCATCCATAGACATACGTTCATAGGACTGTTAATTATTGCCACTCATCTTGAATTCCCTGGCTAAGAAGTTATTATTGAACGGCTGTAAATATGCTGGGGCTTGGGAGATTCAGGGGAGCAAGGAGAAATGACTAAAACAAACACTCCGTGGTGTCAAGATACAAAGCAGATGGCCTGTGTCTTAGCACACTTGACACAGTGCCTCAGAACCTGCTGGGACAATTGTTCATGCATTTATTCACTCAATCCTTCAACCCTGTGCCTAGTTCTGTATGCTCAGAACTGGGGGTCTGGGGAAGGGGTTGGTGTGGGATGGTGAGGAGGGAAAAGGGACTATTTTGACCTGGATTTGAACCCAAACTTGGAAAGCAGTTTTCCTTAGCTAGATGATTCTGAGGCAGAACGAAAGCAAAAGCGGGACCTGGGTTCTCTGTGGGATCTGAATAGCTGTGGGATAGGCGCCCCATGTAGAGGACTGATGAGGTGTCACTGAATTGTGGAGAGATGATGTACACGCTTGCAGGGTAAACTACAATCTAAATGCGTACTTTCTGAGTATTTTTCCAAGCACTACAAGAGGTCATCTAGTTAACATCCAATGTGATCAAGAGATGGCCCAGCACTCCATCGTAGAAGAATGACAAAATTTTATTGTGACTCGATCTTGGCCCAATTTACCATCTTAGAAGAATTAATGGTACCTAGGTGAGTAAGGTTTTTTAAAAAATTATTATTATTATTATTTCGCTTACAGCCTCACTAAAATGGAAAGGACCTGAAAGTTTGCCAGAAAATGGATTGCTAACTGATGGGAAGAGAAGTATGAAAGGGATTGGGATTCCCTCTACTCATCACTCTACTCAGACAAAGTAAAACTGAGTGTGAAAGGCAATAAAGACTGAAACTAGGCTGGGCGTGGTGGCTCACGCCTGCAATCCCAGCACTTTGGGAGGCTGAGGCAGGAGGATCGGTTGAGCCCAGGAATTTGAGATCAGCCTGGGCAATATAGTGAGACCTTGTCTTTACAAAAAATTTTAAAAATTAGCCAGGCATATGGTTGGCACTTGTCCCAGCTACTCGTGAAGCTGAGGTGGGAAGATGACTTGAGCCCAGGAGGTGCAGATTGTTGTCAGCCGAGATGACACCACTGTGCTCCAGCCTGGGTGACAGAGTGAGACCCTCTCTCAAAACAAAACAAAACAAAAAACACCAAAGTCATTTAAAATCATTTACCTTGCAAGAGATATCATATGCATTTATTTATTGAATAGCAACTTTAGGCCAGATACACTTCATAGGATATTCCACTTAATCCTCTAGCAGTCTTACAGTCATCTACCATTACTAACATCTTACAGTTAAATTGAGACTTAGAAAAGTAAAGTAGCTTGTGGCTGGGCATGGTGGCTCAACCCTGTAATCTCAGAACTTTGGGAGGTCAAGGTAGGTGTATCACTTGAGGCCAGGAGTTCCAGACCACCCTTGCCAACATGGTGAAACCCCGTCTCTACTAAAAATACAAAAATTAGGCTGGACGCGGTGGCTCACACCTATAATCCCAAAACTTTGGGAGGCCAAGGAGGGTGGATCACTCGAGGTCAGGAGTTCGAGACCAGTCTGGCCAACGAGGTAAAACCCTGTCTCTACTAAAAATACAAAAATTAACTGGTTATGGTGATCTGTGCCTGTAGTCCAAGCTACTCTGGAGGCTGAGGCAGGAGGATCACTTGAACCTGGGAGGTGGAGGTTGCAGTGAGCCAAGATTGTGCCACTGCGCTCCTGCCTGGGCAACAGAATGATACTCTGTCTCAAAAAAATAAATAAACAAAATAAAGAAATAGTTAAAAAAAAAAAGTACAGTAAAGTGGCTTGCTCAGTGTATCAAAGCTTGTAAGTTGCAGCCCAATATGAACAAGATTTTTCTGGCTACTTGTACTACCTGTCTTATGGTACAATGGCTGTCTGTGCCACAAACACTTCAATTTGTCATGAAAGACATATGACCCAAAACTAATTTAGGAGCCAGTCAAAGTCCCTCTGCTAGTGGACCTAATGAAGCCAACTGTCTCAGGAATGAAGTAAAGCCTTGGTGAACTTCCCAGAAAGTTTTTTTTTTTTTAGATGGGATCTCACTTTGTCTGTTGCCCAGGTTGGAGTGCAATGGTGTGACCATAGCTCACTGCAGCCTCGACCTCCTGGGCTCAAGCAATCCTTCTGTCTCAGCCTCCAGAATAGCTGGGACTACAGGCATGTGCCATGACATCTGAATAATTTTTTAAAATGTTTTGTCAAGTTGGAGTTTCACTTTGTGGCTCAGGCTGGTCTCAAACTCCTGGGCTCAAGTGATCCTCCTGCCTTGGCATCCCAAAGTACTAGGATTACAGGTGTGAGCCACCATGCCCAGCCAAAAAGAGGTCTTTATTCCTCTAGGAAAGAGTAAGACTTAGTAGTGTCCACAACTTCTTGAGCCCTGTCCCTCCAAAAGTTTACATGGTGGGAATGTAATTTTCAATGCAACAATGTCTGGAAGTGGGACCAAATAAGCAAGCAGCAACTGCACTGTGAGCACTCTGCCCTAGTGAACAGATTAATGTCATCGCAGGAGCTGGTTAGTTATGGCTAGAGTGAGTTGTAAAGCAAGTCCAGACCCTGGTGCCTTTCTCTCTCACACTCTTCTGCCCTTCTGCCATGTTACGATGCAGCAAGAAGGACCTCACCAGATGCCAGCCCTTCATAATGGACTTCCTAGCCTCCAGAACTATAAGTTAAACCATAAATCTCTTATGAAGTTTATTTAACTTATGGTTCTGCAGGCTAAATTCATATAAATTACAAAGTATGTGGTTTTCTGCTTTAGCAACAGAAAACAAAGTGAGGCAAACCCCAAGGAAGCTATATTCAGCCCTCCAGGAATTCTTTGTTGGAGAAGCTTTTCTTTTCTTTTCTGTTTTTTTTTTTTTTTTTTTTTGAGACAGAGTCTCCCTCTGTCACCCAGGCTGGAGTGCAATGGTGTGATCTTGGCTCACTGCAACCTCTGCCTCCTGGGTTCAAGCGATTCTCCTGCCTCACCCTCCCAAGTAGCTGGGACTACAGGCATGTGCTGCCATGCCTGGCTAATTTTTGTATTTTTAGTAGAGATGGGGTTTCACCATGTTGACCAGGCTGGTCTCGAACTCCTGACCTCAAGTGATCCGCCCACCTTGGCCTCCCAAAGTGCTGGGATTACAGGCCTGAGCCACCGCGCCCAACCTTGGAGAAGTTTCTCCACAAGAATTGGAGATGGCTCATAAACCTACCGTTAGAAATCTGCAAAGTTGGACCGAGTTCAGTGGCTCACACCTGTAATCCCAGCACTCTGGGAGGCTGAGGCAGGAGGATCGCTTGAGCCCAGGAGTTTGAGACCAGCCTGGGCAGGATAGGGAGACCCTTTGTCTAAAAAAAAAAAAAAGAAAAAAAAAAAATTGTAAAATTAAGTTGCGTCAGGGTGAGGCATATTCTTGAACTTAGAATACATTAGACTATGGTCTTCCATTTTTGGGAATGCTCCAAATGGATATTAACGGAAAGGTAAATTAAGCCCTTGCTGCAGAGGATTCTATTGCTTTTGAGAAAGGTATGATGGTTCACTGGGAAGTGGAACCTGAAGTAGGTGGATGAAGTAGGTTATTTGTGGACCTGGGAGAAGGCTCAGAAATAGTCTGACCTGACAGAGACAAACAAATGGTATAATAAAACCAGCCCCTATGGAGCGAATGGGCATGAGTTGAATTTTCAGTTCAATCACTTTGTACCATGAGAGCTTGAAGAATTTATTTAAACTCATTGAGAATTAATTTCCCCAGCTATAAAATAAGACTAATAATACCTGCCTTTCATGGGGAATAAGTTAGGCGATGTACATGTAAGAAGCCAAGCAGGATGTTTAATACACAGTGGAGGCTCAGAACATGGTAATACAGTCAAAGATTATTTATCTGGCCCAGCACCGTGGCTCACGCCTGTAATCCCAGCACTTTGGGAGGCCGAGGCGGGCAGATCACGAGGTCAGGAGTTCAAGAACAGCCTGGCCAACATGATGAAACCCCGTCTCTAATAAAGATACAGAAAATTAGCTGGGTGTGGTGGTGCGCGCCTGTAATCCCAGCTACTTGGGAGGCTGGGGTAGGAGAATCGCTTGAACCCGGGAGGTGGAAGTTGCAGTGAGCCAAGATCGCGCCACTGCACCCCAGCCTGGGAGACAGGGTGAGACTCCATCTCAAAAAAAAAAAAAAAATTATCTAAGAATTTTAACTTGGAAGTAGGGAAACAAAGAAATTATAAGATGATTCTACAAGGATTTAAAAAGACAATCATCTATTCCAAAAATAAAGGCACGATAGTAACAGAAGAACCATTCGTGATGATCTTTGGGTTGAGATGCTGGTGCGGTGATGGAGGCTCGACAGGTCGGGTGTGGTGATGCCATGGGGATTCTACCACACGCAGAGGGTTGGTTCGTGCTCACTAAGCTATTAAGCAATAGCTGCCTTAAAGCTTTAAATTACTAGCAGGCAAGCACATGTATCACAAAAGATGAGCTTGAATTTGCTCCACAACACGTGGACGCAGCAAATCTCACCTTTCCCTTAATATCCATTTGGAGCATTCCCAAAAAAGGGAAGACCATAGTTGATTTTTCTACATCAACTTGAATTTGATTCCTTGGGATCCAGCTCCCAGGGTTGGTAATTTGACCAATATCCTTAGTCCTTAGAGTGCCTCTCCATATTTCTAGGTTTATACAAGCCCTCCCTACCCAAAGTGTGGTCCTTAGAAGCTTGTTAGAAAAAAGGAATCTTGGCCCGGTGTGGTGCCTCACTCCTGTAATCCCAGCACTTTGGGAGGCCGAGGCGAGTGGATCACCTGAGGTCAGGAGTTCGAGACCAGCCTGGCCTGGCCAACATACTGAAAACCTGTCCCTTCTAAAAATACAAAAATTAGCTGGGCATGTTGGCGGGCGCCTGTAATCCCAGCTACTCAGGAGGCTGAGGCAGGAGAATTGCTTGAACTCAGGAGGCGGAGGTTGCAGTGAGCCGAGATGGAGCCATTGTGCTCCAGCCTGGGCGACAAAAGCGAGACTCCGTCTCAAAAAAAAAAAAAAAAAAAAAAAACAGATAAAAGGAATCTAAAAGGAATCTTGGATCCAACCCAGACCTATTAAATTAGTGTTTGCATTTTAACAAGGGACCCAGGTGATTCACGCACACATTACAGCTGGGAAGCACTGACGTGAGAGGCCCGGAAGCCTACGCACTCCTAAAAACTGACCTACCTCAGACCTTCATAGACTCTGCTGAAAGACTTATTGTTAAGTCTTTTGAAGTTGGTGAGAAGGTAGGCACTTTCACTTCCTGTGGGCTTACACCCCTCGATCAGAGGTCTTGCCACCACTGGGAACCTGGGTGGGCAGGTCTCTGCCATTCCTAAAGCACCAGTATCCGTTTTCTGCCCCCTGAGACCCGGTCACATCCCAGAACCTTGGAACTAACACTTTCCTCCCCATCATTATTACTGTTCTTATTCTTCTTCTTTTTTTTTTTTTTTTTTTTTTTTTTTTTTTTTTGAGATAGAGTCTTGCTCTGTCGCCAGACTGGAGTGCAGTGGTGCGATCTTGGCTCACTGCAACCTCTGCCTCCAGGTTCAAGTGATTCTCCTGCCTCGGCCCCCTGGAATAGCTGGGACTACAGGTGTGCACCACCACGCCCAGCTAATTTTTGTATTTTTAGTAGAGACGAGGTTTTACTATGTTGGCCAGGATGGTCTGGACCTCTTGACCTCGTGATCCACCAGCTTCAGCCTCCCAAAGTGCTGGGATTACAGGAGTGAGCCACCACGCCCAGCCCACTATTACTGTTCTTAAGGAGGTAGGGAGGGAGGGCTAGGACAGGAGCCGCACAGGCTCATTCTCCAGCAATCTACAGGACACATTTTGTTTTCTGCCCGGCTCTCTGAAATGGGTATCAGGTGTGGCTAGCCAATGACTCCTCTCAAGTGGAAAGACACTAAGTTCCAGAAATGAAGCAGATCCAATGGCCAGCAGCTTCTTTACAACACAAGGAAATAGTAGACAAAGGAAGTCCAGATTCAAGTTCAGGCTGGACCAGAGAGATTAGGGGCTTGGCTGTGTTTTCATCCTGTGAAACAATCCAGGTATGAGTGGGCCACTATGACTCTTTTTCAAGGCCTGAGCAGCAACTGTATTTCCTACACTAATATCAAGACATGCAAATCTAACATGAGGTTTCAGGGACACTTGGATTTCACCTCCCAGCCCCCTGCCCTGGAAGAAACACAACTAACAATTTCCAGCATATTTCAATTATTTATTATAAAATGACCCCAGAAAATTTGAAATTAGGCCAGGCATGGTGGCTTGTGCCTACAATCCCAGCACTTTGGGAAGCAGATGTGGGTGGATCACTTGAGCCCAGGAATTCAAGACCAGCCTGGGCAACATGACAAAACTTCATTGATACAAAAAAATACTAAAAAATAGCAGGTCGTGGTGGTGCATGCCTGTAGTCCCAGCTCCTCAGGAGGCTGAGGTGGGAGGATCACCTGAGGCCAGGGAGATTGAGGCTGCAGTGAGCTGTGATTGTGCCACTGCACTCCAGACTAGGCGAGAAAGTGAGACCCTGTCTCAGAAAAGAAAAAAAAAAAAGGTTAAATAATTGCAATTAGGGCCGATTCAGGAAATTCAAAATCTGAGCCCATTTTATGGCCGGTAATTGATATTTTGGGGAAAATGATTTCATTAGAACCCCTGACCCACTATAATTGTAATAGAAAATAACAAAACAGATGCTGTCAGTGTAGTGTTTAACTGACTAAATGTTTGAGGATTCATTTATTGTCATCAGGTCGCGTATTTTAACAGAAAATAAAAAAGTCGTTGCTGTTTTTTTTTGCAAGTAAAAGGTGAGTTTTAAATATCAGCTTGTGCCAAATCTCAGGTGAATTATGCCTGGATTGCCCTGGTCTAATCTCTACTGACTGTTTCTTCCTATAATTAGAATCACTACCCACATCACTGTAAGTTAAGGAGACCTAATATTTAGATAAGTCTGTTTTAAACTTGCTATTAAATTGAGTGAAATGGAGTTCTCAGGTGAGCCCACAAGTCTTCAGATCCAAGGTGAAGGCTCCGTTTCTCATTTAAACATTGTCAAACTAAGAATGATTTGATTGCTTGTGGATTTTGCATATGTCAGCACAGTAGAACCTTAGTCATGCAAATCTCTGTTGCTTAGCATGGCCATAACCCAGAAACACAGAGCTGTTTCCATATTTTATCTGTGTTTGTAGTTGAAAGCATGCCTTCTATTGTGCTTTTTTTTTTTTTTTTTGACAGAGTCTCGCTCTGTTGCCCAGGCTGGAGTGCAGTGGTGCGATCTCGGCTCACTGCAACCTCTGCCTCCTGGGTTCAAGCGATTCTCCTGCCTCAACCTCCCTAGTAGCTGGGACTATAGGCCCACGCCACCACACCCAGCTAACTTTTGTATTTTTAGTAGAGATGGGGTTTCAGCATGTTGGCCAGGCTGGTCTTGAACTCCTGACCTCAAGTGATCCACCCACCTCAGCCTCCCAATGTGCTGGGATTACAGGAGTGAGCCACCACTCCAGGCCTATTGTGCTTTTAAATAACAGATGTCAGGACAATGTTTAAAGCACATAACACGAGTATTGAAAAATGTTTGTCCGCTTTTAAAAGAAAAAAAAAAACCCACAATAATGAATTCAGCCTGCCAGTTTGTATTTTCAAGGAATATTTTAACTCTTGAGGAATTTCTAGCACCTACCCTTTAAATATCCCTCTCCTACAGTGAATGAAAGCCAAAGCCATTTTGGACTAACAGTTTCTTGTGTAGACGCACCAAGGCAGCAATATATAAGTCAGTTTTTCAAGGATTGAGACTCCCTTAGAACTGCAGGGCTCTGTGTTAGTTCTCACTTACTGAGCAAACAACACACGAGGGAAGTAACAGATACACTCATTTTGAAGACCTCGAAGAGGATGAACCAGAGGCAAGTTAGTGCTTTGGAAAAAATCAGATGTAGGGGCAGAGGGGGTTGGAGGAGAGATGAAGGCAGAAGATGCAGCATCTCTCTGGGAGAAATGGCAGGTGAATAGGCAGGAACTGAAGGAGTGGTGGGTGGAGCAGATGGCTCAGGGTCAAGATTCAAGTGAGATTCCGGGAGGGTGGTAACCAAGGACACCCCACAAGAGACGTGGTGGGAGGACTGACGCGGCAGGAGTGGGGAGAGAGGCCATGGGCCTATTTGCCCATATCTGGCAACCATCTGCAGCGTTGGTCTGAACCTAACTCATGGTAAGATTGGAACAGTGAGTCCCCAGCAAGTGGAGGTAGGTTCCTCACCTTATTTCATAAGGCAGAATTTATGGTGGAAAAGAAGGTAACAGGAAAGGGAGCGGCAGTGAAAAGAATGGAGCTGAAATAGACTTTTGCAATTGACTAGAACAGTTCCCTCTTTGGGAGGTGAGGCACTAAAGCCTGGGTTGAAAGGTAGGTTATTTAATATCTCAGGGTCTCAGCTTCTCTCACCTGTAAATTAGAAGGGTTGCATTAGAAGGTTGTGATATTTCTTCTTAAATTATGATTATAGAATGCCACTTATTTATTTCTTTATCTTAGCTGACAAGTAAAACTTGTATATCGTTATAGCATTTAACATGATGCTGCTTTCGTTGTTGTTTTGTTTTTGTTTTTTTTATTGATAGGACTGTTTAAAACACAGGATCCATGGGAAGAGGGTCAAATTTAAAGAGGCCCTTAGGGATTCATTATATGGAATAACCAGAATTTGTTGTGTGGGGCAGTTGAAGGCATTAGAGACAAAATCCTGGTTTCCTAATTTGAGAAATTAAAAAATATATATAGCTTGCAGACCACTACCTTTGTCACCTCCCAGGAATCAGGAAGCCCAGGTGAGGATCCATCGCATTAGGAGAGTGTTACGTCATGCTCTGAGATGTGAATACCTCGTAGAATGGATAATTTAGGCTATTTAACATATGCAGATTGTCATGTGTCTAATGCAGCATCAGGATCTGGAGTCACACCCAGCGCTCTCCACTGTCTACCCCGCACTCCACCATGCCCAGATTTTATCACTCCTAGAACTGCTTTGTAAATTAGCATTCATCCATGATAGAGGCCTAGATGACAGACAAGACGTCCGATGATGCTATGAAGAAGTAACATGGGCTGAGCATGGTGGCTCACGCCTGTAATCTCAGCACTTTGGGAGGCCGAGGCAGGAGGATCACTTGAGCCCAGGAAATTCAGACCAGCCTGGGCAATATAGGGAGACCCCGTCTTTATAAAAAACTAAAAAAAAAGAGAAAAAAATTAGCTGGGCATGGTGGCATGTGGGAGGCTGAGGTGGGAGCATTGCTTGAGCCCTAGAGGTCAAGGCTGCAGTGAGTGGAGATCGCACCACTGCACTCCAGCCTGGGCAACAGAGTGAGACCCTGTCTGAAACCCCCCACCAAACCAAAAAGCACACAAGCAACAGGATGCTATGAAGAAACAAAAGGTTAATAATTAAAAAAAAAAAAAAAAAAACATGCACAGCACTTTGCTTTCCCATTTATCTGGCTAGTGAATGGGGGTCAGGTTTGGGAGGAACGTTATGGAGGGAGTAAGCTCACGTTTGGAGCCAAAACCAAGAGCTTAGGCCTAAGCTCTTATTTTTCGCAAGCAACACTGTGGGATGCCCATGAAAATATGATTATGGAATCCTCTCCATAAAAACAAAGTAGCAAGACCTTCAGGTGCTTCTCACTCTTATTCATGAATAGCCCCTTTTTCTTTCTGTTGACATGGAGTCAAGCAAGTGATTTCAGGGACATCTCAATGAATCACTGACCGGGTAGAGACTTGTTTCAGGAGCAGGCTTCCTAGGGGCAGGATGTGTGCAGGGCGGGCAGGAAATGAATGGGCAACGAGAACGGCATCTGGTCAATGGCACAACCATCTTTTTCTTCTGTTACTTCTCTTTAGAGCATTTGCTCATTCAGCAAGAAAGTAGAGAACAGCTGCCGCATCTTCAGGGCTTCCTGGTTATGCTGCAAAGTGACTAGGGTCATTCAAAATGGGTCCCTGCCCTTAAGAAACTTATGCTCTATACAGAATCCCAGACATGTTTCAAGGACTTGAGAAATAATTACAAGGTAACTCACAATGTCTCTTCCTTTGAGGAAAAGATCAAAAGGGCTGTAGTACAATGAATCATCATGTTGGTGCCTGTTTGGATTGCCTAAGTGTTCCAGGGAGGCATTTGGACTGGAGGTGAACAGGAGCCAGGACTAGATTTGAGAGGCTCTTGACTTTCCCACTCCCTGCCCTGGATCTGATTCCTCCCCAGGAGCCTGGGAATTACAGTGTTGGTTCTCTGACTCACTAGGATGTCATAAAGATGGTGAGACATTGTCTGTCCTGCTCCTTCCGCCCTTTGACAGAAAGGCACCTCTAGAGATGAATACAGGGTGTTAATGCTGATTATAGCAGTTTCGATTTGCATTTCCATACACTAGACGACCTAATCCACTCTGTCTAAACATGGAAATCCCATAACTCTGCCCAACTCATCACTCCATTAATCCACTTAACCCCTGGCCAATACATAATCTAAATATTTAATCATGTCTATTTGTTATCTGTGTTTATTCCATGTTCATTCATGGTCTGAGTCTCCTCTCTGTTTATCCATCTCAGTAGAATCTAGTCTAAACCAGGAGAATCCCAAGGAGAGGAGGAAGAGTGTCTTATCCATTTTATTCTTTTCTGGCACATAGTACTGAACTTGGCACGTAGTAGGTGTTTGATGTTAACTGGCAACAATCTCTCAGAATAATTTTTTTTTTTTTTGCATCTTCAGAGAAATATTTTATTATCACTATCGGAGAATCTTACTGTTTCCAATGCCCACCACAATGCCTGGCACATACTGTTTAATGAGAAGTTGGATAATTAATCTTGGGTCATACAATGGGAGCAGGAGAATGCGAAAAAGCAGAACTGGTCTAGAAGGGAGAAGACTTAGAATCTGTTTTTGGTTCTGCAATAGGCTAGTATATGAGGTTGGTCAAGTCTTTTGAAGGCTCTGGGCCCTGGCTTTCTTGTTAGTCGTGTGGATGGATAGGATTAGAACCCCAATCTGCTTTGGCTCCAATATTTTGCCTAGATCTGAGGGCTATGGTATAGAAAAAGGCACAAGGAGGCGGGGGTTCATCAAATGTCAGAATGAGCGCTTCTTCCCACCATTACCACTGCCACTTAAGGACCAGGAAAATGGGCTGGAAACCAGGGCATCTGTTTCCCTCTACGCCTCCTCTTCACCCTCACTGGCTGTCCCTCACAGCCTGGGGTGGGGGGACTGCAGACATCTGCTCATTCCATCTGCATCAGCTAATGTTTATGCAGTGCCCCTGGATGCACGGGCCTGGAGTCACCTGGGGGAGGGCGTGCATGTGTGCAGAGGGCGGGAGGTGGGTCCTGATCACGCCAAAGCCTCCATATGGACTGTATTTTTCCCCATGCAAAACGCAAGTATGTGGGAGGTAGAAGGAGAGTGAAGGAGATCATAATTTATTGCTCAGTCATGTTTATTTTCACTCTTGGCTGGTTTAGGGCATTTTTCTTAATGTATTAGGGTCACAATTTTATCGACTTCAAGGATGCCTGAAAGCTCCGTGTCTGTGTGTGTGTGTGTGTGTGTGTGTGTGTGAGAGAGAGAGTGAGACAGAGAGAAAGACACAGAAAGAAAGAGAGAGAGACAGAGACAGAGAGACTGTGTTAAGATGACTTGGGTTTCTCTTTTTTTGAAAATTTTTCCACTAAACACTGAATTTGAACCTAAAGCATTAGCCATCCCTTCAAAAATATGATTTCCTTCTCACAGACTACTCACTATGTCTATCACCATCCTGTCATGATCACTTTAATTGGCTTAGATAAAAAAATCAAGATCTGACTCAGCTATTTTTTTTTTAAGAGATGGCGGTCTCACTATGTTGCCCAGGCTGGTCTCAAACTCCTAGGCTCAAGTGATCCTCCTACCTCGGCCTCCCAAAGTCCTGGGAGTAGAGACATGAGCTGTGAGCCATCACACCCAGCCATTTTTTTTTTTT
Source organism: Homo sapiens (assembly GCF_000001405.40). Lineage (NCBI taxonomy): Eukaryota > Metazoa > Chordata > Mammalia > Primates > Hominidae > Homo > Homo sapiens. Next base: position 15,131,269 of record NC_000006.12, on the reverse strand, counting down.
TTTTGAGATGGAGTCTTGCTCTGTTGCCCAGGCTGGAGTGCAATGGCGTGATCTCAGCTTACTGCAACCTTCGCCTCCTGGGTTCAAGCAATGCTCCTGCCTCAGCCTCCCGAGTAGCTGGGACTACAGGCACACACCAGTACGCTCACCTAATTTTTGTATTTTTAGTAGAGATGGGGTTTCACCATGTTGACCAGACTGGTCTTGAACTCCTGACCTCAGGTGATCTGCCCGCCTCGGCCTCCCAAAGTGCTGGGATTACAGGCATTAGCCACTGAGCCCGGCCTCCAGCCATTGTTTCTTACCGATGCTTAATAGATGTACATATTTGTGGGGTACGTGTGATGTTTTGATACATTTATATAATGTGTAATAATCAAATTAGAGTAATTGGAATACCTATCACCTCATACATTTTTCTTTTCTTTATACTGGGCACATTTGAAGTATTCTCTGCTAGCTATTTAAAAATATACAATAGATTATTGTTTATTGTAGCCACTCTACTAATTTATCAAACACTAGGTCTTATTTCTTCTATCTACTGACTTAGCTATTTTTCCTTTTTTTTTTTTTTGAGAAGGAGTCTCACTCTGTTGTCCAGGCTGGACTGTAGTGGTGCCATCTCAGCTCGCTGCAACCTCTGCCTCCTGGGTTCAAGCGATTCTCTATCCTCAGCCTCTCAAGTAGCTGGAATTACAAGCATTCATCACCACACCCGGCTAATTTTTGTATTTTTAGTAGAGATGGGGTTTTACCATGTTGGCCAGGCTGGTCTCGAACTTCTGACCTCAAGTGATCTGCCCGCCACAGCCTCCCAAAGTGATGGGATTACAGGCATGAGCCACCAAGCCCGACCTGATTTAGCTATTTCTAAAAGAGACTTCCTCAACTTCTCCTTTCCTTCACCCATCTGTATTGCTGGGATTCCTTTGTTGTCTTTAATTATAACAGTACTAGCTGCTACTTATTAAGTACTGTTAGGCCCTATGTGAAGTAGTTTATATAACTTGATGTTGGAAAGAAATATTACCCTTTTTACAGATGAGGAAATTACAGTTCAGTGAGGTTAACTGAAATTGAAACACAAGTGTGACTGTATCTGTTCCTCCCCTGCAAATGAAGTTCTGAGAAAACAGGATTTTGTTTTGGTGAGCAAATGTCAGAGTGCCGGCGGGCCTCAGTGGACCGTGGGCCCAACAGGGGGCCCAGGCAAAATTAGGGCTCTGCATTCTTAGGAGGAAAAGCAGCAAAAAGGAGGAGGCGGTGTTGAATGCAAAGAAGGGATTCTAATGTTCCAGTGTTTTCCCAAGGGCTAATCCTTAGTGGTCAACAGAGGCAAGTTCAGGTCTTGGGAAACAGCTGTGATGGCTATTGCTGTCCTGAAAGATCTTTTAGCATTGGGGAAGCTCATCTTCCAGCAGGTGAAACTTTTGATGGTGCTTTAGTTCATTCATCCAGTGTTAGGCCCTGTGCTAGGGACAGTGGTTGCAAGGATGGGTAAGTTCGGCTCCTTGCTGTAGGGACAAGCAGGGAACACTTCTTTGTCCTCTGAAGGTTTGCTGAAAAATCAACTCACAAAAGGCCAATTTATAGGAGAAAAGGCATACTAATTTATTTAATCATAGTTTTTCATGACACAGGAGACTTCAGAATGAAGAACCAAAGATATAGGGGAAATTGCCTATTTTTTTTTTTTTTTTTTTTGAGATGGAGTCTCGCTCAATTGCCCAGGCTGGAGTGCAGTGGCATGACCTCGGTTCACTGCAACCTCTGCTTCCCGAGTTCAAGTGATTCTCCTACCTCAGCCTTCTGAGTACCTGGGATTACAGGCACCCGCCATCATGCCTGGCTAATTTTTGTATTTTTTTGTAAAGACGGGGTTTCACCATGTTGTCCAGGCTGGTCTTGAACTCCTGACCTCAGGTGATCCACCCGCCTCGACCTCCCAAAGTGCTAGGATTATAGACGTGAGTCACCGCGCCCGGCCGAAACTGTCTATTTTTATGCTTGGGCTCAACAAAGTATGCACAGCCATGTCGAAATAATGATTGGCCAGAAGTCATTATAATTAATCTGTGCTAATAGACTGAGTGGGGAAGCCCAGCAGGGCCTGTCTGTTTAGATTCTTCTTGGGTTCTCTATGCAGCATTCCTTCCTTGTGGGAATGGGGCCTGGCTGTCTCTGGAATGGGGGTCTTATGACCTACAGTCAAACAAGATAGGTCAGATAATTTCTTTTGTTTTCTTTCTTTTTTTTTTTTCTGAGACAGAGTTTTGCTCTTGTTGCCCAGGTTGGAGTGCAACGGCGCGATCTCAGCTCACTGCAACCTCTGCCTCCCAGGTTCAAGGGATTCTCCTGCCTCAGCTTCTCAAGTAGCTGGGATTACAGGCACGTGCCACCACACCCAGCTAATTTTTTGTATTTTTAGTAGAGACAGATTTTCACTATGTTGGCCAGGTTGATCTCAAACTCCTGACCTCAGGTGATCTGCCCACCTTGGCCTCCCAAAGTCTTAGGATTACAGGCGTGAGCCACTGCGCCCAGCCCAGATAATTTCTTTATGACCAGTTTTTACACAGAAAGGCAGGGGAAAATTAGAGTAATATTTGTAGGTTTTATGGCTGGTTTGGGGAAAAAGGGGTTCTGGTTTCTATGATCCACTTTGAGGAAGAGAGATTCTAGTTTCTATGGCTAGCCCAGGGGGAGAATGAGGGGCTGGAGACAGGAAGGCAGGAGAAGCTAAGAGAAACTCTTTTGAAGCCTTCATTTGGGGTATTGCTTTCTGAGCCCCAACATTGCCCTTAAGTGGCTCACAGTTTAACTCAGGATTCCTCAGCACCCAGCTGGATTGGGAACTTGGTATCTACTCATGGGCTGTGTGGTCCCCATGGTCCTAAGAGAACCTCAGTTTCCACACAACTATGACCCTAGTTCTCTTTCCAAGCACAGAGTTTTGCCATGGCAGCTAGCCTGTGATTTCAAATATACACAAATGTGAGCCCCCTCCATGGCCCTGTTCAGTGGCCATTCAGTAGTAACTTGTTCTGACACCCTATGACAAAGTTTTTCTTTCTTTCTTCTTCTTCTTCTTCTTCTTTTTTTTTTTTTTTTTTTTGCTTATATTTATTTCTTGAGACAGGGTCTTACTCTGTTGCTCAGACTGGAATGTAGTGGCACGATCTTGGCTCAGTGCAGACTCGACCTCCCCTGGCTCAAGTGATCCTACCTCCTCAGCCTCCCAAGTAGTTGGGACTACAGGCACATGCCACCGTGCCCGGCTAATTTTTTTTGTATTCTTTTTTTTTGAGATGGAGTTTTTGCCCTTGTTGCCCAGGCTGGAGTGCAATGGCACGATCTTGGTTCACAGCAAACTTCGCCTTCCAGGTTCAAGCGATTCTCCTGCCTCAGCCTCCAGAGTAGCTGGGATTACAGGCATGCACCACCACGCCCAGCTAATTTTATATTTTTAGTAGAGACAGGGTTTTTCCACGTTGGTCAGGCTGGTCTCAAACTCCCAACCTCAGGTGATCTGCCCGCCTCGGCCTCCCAAAGTGCTGGGATTACAGGCCTGAGCCACCGCACCCGGCCTTTCTGTATTCTTTGTAGAGATGGGGTTTCACCATGTAGCCCAGGCTGGTCTCAAACTCCTGGGCTCAAGGGATCCTCCCAAGGCACCTCAGCCTACCAAACTGCTGGGATTGTAGACATGAGGCACCATGCACGGCCTGACAATGTTTTTTCTGTATTAAATTTATGCTCTTATGGGAAGGATAATGTCTTCCAAATGATCAAGTTATTGCCAAGGTGGTACTTTTTTTTTTGAGACAGGGTGTCTCTGTGTTGCCCAGGCTGGAGTGCAGTGGAGTGATCCTGGCTCACTGCAACCTCCACCTTTCGTGTTCAAGCAATTCTCATGCTTCAGCCTCCTGAGTAGCTTGGATTAAAGGTGACCACCACCATGTCTGGCTAATTTTTGTAATTTTAGTAGAGATAGGGTCTCACTATGTTGCCCAGGCTGGTCTCAAACTCCTGAGCTCAAGTGATCAGCCTGCCTTGGCCTCCCAAAGTACTGGGATTATAGGCATGAGCCACCGTGCTCAGCCCTGATACTTTTAAAAATCACTTTTTGGAGTGGGCGCAGTGGCTCACGCCTGTAAATCCCAGCACTTTGGGAGGTCGAGGCAGGCAAATCACCTGAGGTCAGGAGTTTGAGACCAGCCTGGCCAACATGGTGAAACCCCATCTCTACTAAAAATACAAAAATTAGCCAGGCGTGATGGCACGCACCTGTAATCCCAGCTACTTGGGAAGCAGAGGCAGGAGAACTGCTTCAACCTGGGAGGCGGAGGTTGCAGTGAGCTGAGATGGTGCCACTGCACTTCAGCCTGGGCAACAGTGTGAGACTCCCTCAAAAAAAAAAAAAAAGGAAGGAAGAAAGGAAGGAAGGAGGGAAGGAGGGAAGGAAAAAAGGAAGAAAGAAAGAAAGGAAAGAAAGAAAGAAAGAGAGAGAAAGAAAGAGAAAGAAAGAAAGGAAGGAAAAGAAAAGGAAGAAAGAAAGGAAGGAAGGAAAGAAAGAAAGGAGAGAAGGAAGGAAGGAAGGAAAGAAAGAAAGAAAGAAAGAAAGAAAGAAAGAAAGAAAGAAAGAAAGAAAGAATCACTTTTTTTTTTTTTTGAGATGGAGTCTGGCTCTGTCGCCCAGGCTGGAGTGCAGTGGTGCAATCTCGGCTCACTGCAAGCTCCACCTCCTGGGTTCACGCCATTCTCCTGCCTCAGCCTCCGGAGTAGCTGGGACTACAGTCGCCCGCCACCACGCCCAGCTAATTTTTTTTCTGTATTTTTAGTAGAGACGGTGTTTCACCATGTTAGCCAGTATGGTCTCGATCTCCTGACTTCGTGATCCGAAAAATCACTTTTTGGGGTGGGAATGGTGGCTTACGCTTGTAATCCCAGCACTTTGGGAGGCTAAGGTGGGAGAATTGCTTGAGCTCAAGAGGTCGAGACTAGCCTGGACAACATGATGAGACCCCATCCCTAAAAAAATTTAGAAATTAGCTACAGGTGGTAATGCACCACTGTAGTCTCAGCTACTTAGGAGGCTGATATGGGAGGATCACTTTAGCCCAGGAGGTCAAGGCTGCAGTGAGTTGTGATGGAGCCATTGCAGTCCAGTCTGGGCAATCCAGTCTGGGCAACAAGACAGACTCTGTCTCAAAAAACAAAACGGAAAACCAAAAAACTTGGCCGGGTGCGGTGGCTCACGCCTGTAATCCCAGCACTTTGGGAGGCTGAGGTCGGCGGATCATGAGGTCAAGAGATTGAGACCATTCTGGCTAACATGGTGAAACCCCGTCTCTACTAAAAGTACAAAAATTAGCTGTGCGTGGTGGCGCTCACCTGTAGTCCCAGCTACTCCGGAGGCTGAGGCAGGAGAATTGCTTGAACCCGGGAGGCGGAGGTTGCAGTGAGCCGAGATGCGCCACTGCACTCCAGCCTGGTGACAGAGCGAGACTCCGTCTCAAAAAAAAAAAAAAAACCAAAAAACCAAAAAACTCCACTTTCTGATCATGGAAAAGATGTCAAACTTTCCTAAATCTTGAACTGTCCCCTTCATTCTTTTTACTACCAATCCTTTCTCTCTTACTCCTTGAAAACAGCAGGAGAGAAAGAGTGTTAGGGTAGCAATTTCAGGGTGATAAAGATGTAGCCGCATGTATAGCAAGGGACATTTGGGCATTTACATTAGCAATAATTCTGAAACATCAGTCAAACTACTTATTAATTCTAATATTATAGGGTTTTTTTCACAGTTGAATTTAATCAGGAAAGGTGAGCATAATTTAACTTTTGGTCCTTCCAGATTTATATAGAGGATATTATTTCCCTTTCTTTCTTTCTTTCTTTCTTTCTTTCTTTCTTTCTTTCTTTCTTTCTTTCTTTCTTTTCTTTCTTTCTTTCTTTTCTTTCTTTCTTTCTTTTTCTTTCTTTCTTCCTTCCTTCCTTTCTTTCTCTCTCTCTCTTTCTCTCTCTATCTCTTTCTTTCTTCCTTTCTTCCTTCCTTCCTTTCTTCCTTCCTTCCTCCTTTCTTTCTTTCCCTTCCTTCCTTCCTTCCTTCCTTCCTTCCTTCCTTCCTTCCTTTCTTTCTTTTTCTTTCTTTCTTCCTTTCTTTCTTAGATAGGTTCTTGCTGTGTCACCGAGGCTGGAGTGCAGTGGCGTGATCACAGCTCACTGCAGCCTCGAACTCCTGGGGTCAAGTTTTCCTCCTCCCTAGTAGCTGGGACTACAGGTGTGCACCAGTACACTGGCTAATTTTTTTATTTTTTGCAGAGCTAGGGTTTTAGGTTCTGCCTTGAACTCCTGGGCTCAAGCGATCTACCTGCCTTGGCTTCCCAAAGTGCTGGGGTTACAAGGCATGAACCACTGCGACTGGCTGGATCTTGTTTCATGACCCCTGTGCATAAGCATGTAGAACAAGCTTGTCCAACCTGTGGCCTGCAGGCCGCATGTGGCCCAGGAATGCTTTGAATGGGACTTGACACAAATTTGTAAACATTATTTAAAAATTATGTGTCTTTTTGAGATTTTTTTAAAAGCTCGTCAGCTATTGTTAGTGTTAATGTATTAAAGTAAATTAAATTAAGTCATTAATTAATTACTATTTTTTTGAGATGGAGTATTGCTCTGTTGCCTAGGCTGGAGTACAGTGGCGTGATCGTGGTACACTGCAACCTCTGCCTCCGAGGTTCAAGCAATTCTCCTGCCTCAGCATCCCAAGTAGCTGGGATTACAGGCCCCCGCCACCATGCCAGCTAATTTTATATTTTTAGGAGACACGGGGTTGCATCATGTTGGCCAGGCTGGTCTCGAACTCCTGACCTCAAGTGATCCTCCCACCTCAGCCTCCCAAAGTGCTGGGATTACAGGTGGGAGCCACTGCACCTGGCCAATTAATTAGTTTTTAGACACAGAGTCTTGCCCTGTAGCCCAGGCTAGAGTGTAGTGGTGTGATCTCTGCTCACTGCAACCTCCACCTCTTGGGTTCAAGTGATCCTTCTGCCTCAGCCTCCAGAGTAGCTGGGATTACAGGCATGCGCCACCGCACCCAGCTAATTTTTGTATTTTAGTAGAGATGAAGTTTTGCCGTGTTGCGCAGGATGGTCTCAAACTCCTGAGCTCAAGTGATCCACCTGCCTCAGCTTCCCAAAGTGCTAGGATTACAGGTGTGAGCCACTGCACCCAGCCATTAGTGTATTTTATGTGTGGCCCAAGATAATTATTCTTCCAATGTGGCCCAAGGAAGTAAAAAGATTGGACACCCCTGAGTAGAGAGTAAGTCCCTATGGGTGATATTAAAAACTAGTTCTAAGACATTGGATGGGACATTTACTGGGACTATATTTAGAGGTTTATTTTGGTTTTGTGTATATGTAGAGAGTTCTGAGGAAAACTTGGTCAGAGAAAACTGACTCATATTTCTTTTGGTATAGGACATGCTATGAGACCATGCAGATACTGCTCCACCACAAGAATGGAGTTTGGCCAGGCGTGGTGGCTCACGCCTGTAATCCCAACACTTTGGAAGCCTGAGGTGGGTGGATCACAAGGTCAAGGGTTCGAGACCAGCCTGGCTAACATGGTGAAACCCCGTCTCTACTAAAAATACAAAAATAGCCAGGTGTGGTGGCAGGCGCCTGTAATCCCAGCTACTTGGGAGGCTGAGGCAGGAGAATCGCTTGAACCCAGGGGGTGGAGGTTGCAGTGAGCTGAGATCGTGCCGTTGCACTCTAGCCTGGGCAACAAGAGCAGGACTCCATTTAAGAAAAAAAAAATGGGGCTTATTGGGTACAGTGTACACCACTATAGAATTCATACATGCAACCAAAAACCACTTGTATTTCTAAAGCTATTGACATAAAAAAAATTAAAAGAAAAAAAGAATAGGCCTAATGAGAGAAGGGGCCTGGGGCCCACTGAAGAAACATTGATTAAGGAATTGCTGTGTGCCAGATTATGACAAATTATTAAATAGTTGTTAGGTTGAATAACACATTTTCCTCCTCAGTTCTTCCTATGTGTCCATCAATGAGAGATGAAACAGGACTACACTAGTGTTTAGTTTCAATGAATGATAGTCACAAAGTACTTTTGAGGTTTCTTTGCTTATTCAAAGACTTCTGAATCTTGCTTTGGAAAACCAAAATGCAAAGGTATACATCTGTATTAGTCCGTTTTCATGCTGCTGATAAAGCCATACCCAAGACTGGGAAGAAAAAGAGGTTTAACTGGACTTACAGTTCCACATGGCTGGGGAGGCTTCAGAATCATGGTGGGAGGTGAAAGGCACCTCTTACATGGCAGCGGCAAGAGAAAATGAGGAAGATGCAAAAGCGGAAACCCCTGATAAACCATCAGATTAGCCGGGTGTTGTGGCTCATGCCTGTAATCCCAGCACTTTGGGAGGCTGAGGCAGGCAGATCACCTGAGGTCAGGAGTTCAAGACCAGCCCGGCTAAATGGTGAAACCCAGTCTCTACTAAAAATACAAAAATTAGCCAGGCGTGGTGGTGGGCGCCTCTAATCCCAGGTACTCAGAAGGCTGAGGCAGAACAATCAGTTGAACCCAGGAGGCAGAGGTTGCAGTGACAGGAGATTGAGCCATTGCCCTCCAGCCTGGGCGACAAGAGCGAAACTCCCTCTAAAAAAAAAAGAAAGACAAAAAACCGTCAGATATCATGAGACTCATTCAGTATCACAAGAACAACGTTAGGAAAGCCCCGCTCCCATGATTCAATCACCTCCCACCCGGTTCAAACTGTGGAAGTTACAATTCAAGATGAGATTTGGGTGGGGACACAGCCAAACCATATCAATGTCAAAGTCAAATTTTTGTATACCTCTTGACTCAGCAATTTTGCTACTGTAACTTATCCTGAGGAGATAACTGTGGATGTCCCCAAAGTTTTAGCTGCAAGGATGTCCATCTTAGTATTGTTTATAATAATGAAAGTTTGAAACAACTTAAAGGCTCAGCCACAGAGGGTTGGTTAAATAACACACAGTAAGTCCGTATAGTGGGATGCCAAAGCATCATTTAAAATAGTGCTGAGGAAGGACATTTTCATGACATGGAAAAATGCTGACACTATGCTGTTATTAAAATTAAAAAAAAAAAAAAGGTTAAGCCAGGCATAGTGTCTCACGCCTGTAATCCCAGCACTTTGGGAGGCCAAAGTGGGCAGATCACTTGAGGTTAGGAGGCAGAGGTTGCAGTGAGCTGAGATAGTGCCATTGAAACCCACCCTGGGCAACAGAGCCAGACCTTGTCTCAAAAAAGAAAAAAAAAATTCAAAAAAGGTTAAATACACGTATGCATATGATTGTATTATTGTTAAAGAATGCATATTCTTGCATAGGAAGAAAAAGACTAAGTATCTGTGGCAAAAATACTAATGGCTATCTTCGGTTGGTGAGGTTATGAAAAAAATTGTCTTATTTTTGAATGTTTATAATGATTACATCTTTCTTTCTGAGGCTGAGGTGGGAGGATCACTTGAGCCCAGGAATTAGAGGTTACAGTGAACTGTGATAGCACCACTGCACTCCAACATGGGCAACAGGATGAGACTCTGTCTCTAAAAAAATGAATGCAAAACCAAAAAACAAACAAACCAAAAAAACCACAAAACACTGCATAGAAAAGCATCAGATGAGAAGCTCCTTTTGGTTGGAAGCTGGATCTATAGTAACCTCCAGTAACCCAAATTGATTGTAACTTGAATGGTAATAACATATGTTGAGGGAAGATGTTTGACCTCAGGGCCTCTATATGTTCTAAAATTCAGAGTTTTGTGTTAATATTTTAAAAATATGTTACTTAGATACAGTTTTTTTGTGTTTGTTTTTTACTTCTGTACAACTCTGAGAAGCACCCAGGGATGAACTCTATTACAATGAGGCAGGCAAAGGGTCATGTCTGTGACCTTGGTGGGCATAGCAAGTGCAAGCAGGGTGTAGGTAATAAGACAAATGGTAACGATGAGGGATACAAGGATGCTTTTTTAGAACAAATATGCTATTTTATTTCTTTTGTTTGCAAGATATGAGATGACAATCCTGGTAAGAACTAAGCAGTGAGTTTTTTGAGTCTATCACATGATTCTGATGGTGGGTTTTTATTAAAAAAATATTTGAGCACATGTCAACTGCTAAGCCAGCATTAAGGGATTTATGGTGAAGACGTATCTTTTGTACAAGCTCTTTTGTGGGGAGCTACTTTTTGTTTCTCTCAATGGGGCATCCTCATGGTAAGAGGGGTGCAGAGGCGGCAGACGTTTCCAGTAGGATTGGGGGTGTTTCCCCCACTGCCCACACGTCACCCTAGTTAAGGTTTCTTCTTTTTTTTTTTTTTTTTTTTGAGATGGAGGTTTGCTCTTGTTGCCCAGGCTGGAGTGCAATGACACAATCTCCGGCTCACCACAACCTCCGCCTCCTGGGTTCAAGTGATTCTCCTGCCTCGGCCTCCCAAGTAGCTGGGATTACAGGCATGTGCCACCACAACCTGCTAATTTTGTACTTTTAGTAGAGACGGGGTTTCTCCATGTTGGTCAGGGTGGTCTTGAACTCCCAACCTCAGGTGATCCGCCTGCCTCGGCCTCCCAAAGTGCTGGGATTATAGGCGTGAGCCACCATGCCCGGTGGTTAAGGTTAGTTCTGGTTCTTGACTAGCTGGCTAGACTGTAATACCAAAGTGCTGGGATTACAGGTGTGAGCCGCCAGGCTTTCTTTTAAATTTTTCATAGTACAGGGTCTCACTATGTTGTCCAGGCTGCCCTGGAACTCCTGGCCTCAAGAAATCCTCCTGCCTCAGCCTTCCAATATTCTCTCTAATAGAGAATATTTCCACAGCGTCTTTGCTTCTGCTTGCATTATTACATTCAATCCTCTTTGCAGTATTGTGATTATTATGATTTAGAAATGAGGAAAACAAGTTAACCCAATATGGAGGTCTGTGAGTGACACAGCTGAGGTTTGAACCCACGTCTCTGACATCAGATCTTATTCTTTTCTATAATTTTCTGCTGGCTGACGTCTCAGGGACAAAATACTATGTAATATTTGGCCAGCAATTTTCTAGCTTAAGTTGACATGGTTAGCTTTTATAGGTCGAAAAATAATAAAATATATCTTTTATCTGGTATATTTTAAATAAATATTTTAGTTCTTTTTCAAATGCTTATTTCATATTGTCTACAAAATTTTACATTGTGATATAATATAAACCTGATAATATAAACGTACTTTGTATTTATAGCATCCCTAAAAAATTGCAAACATTCTCAATGGAGTGAATTTTTAATCCATTTTTGCATCTTGAGAATCTGAGACTGGACAAATAGATAAGACTCTGATGACAGACATGGAAATAGAAGACATAAATCTTGACCAGGTGCAGTGGCTCATGCCTGTAATCCCAGCACTTTGGGAGGCTGAGGCAGGCGGATCACGTGAGGTCAGCAGTTCGAGACCAGCCTGGTCAACATGGCAAAACCCCGTCTCTACTAAAAATACAAAAATTAGCTGGGTGTGGTGGCAGGGGCCTGTCATCCCAGCTACTCAGGAGGCTGACGCAGGAGAATCGCTTGAACCTGGGAGATGGAGGTTGCGGTGAGCCGAGATCACACCATTGCACTCTAGCCTGGGCAACAAGAGTGAAACTCAGTCTCAAAAAAACCCCCAAAAGACCCCATAAATCTTGAGAACCTAATTCTATGTAAGAAATTATCCATTTGCTTCACTTGCAATAGCTTTTCTGTGATTAGAAAATCCGTTTGGATACGTATTTGGCAAGTGATGTGTTAATTGGAGTGGCGGGCTATAATTGGAGTTCTTGGGAAAACTCGACATCATTAAGGTAACATTGTTTTTTGAAATGAATGTCTCTAGGGAATGGGCACATATTATCCCACTACTCCTAAAATGACCTTTGTGGGCTAGCTATTCCATGTGTGCCCCTTATTGCCATCACTGGGACTGATGATGGTGTTAAGGGGAAACTGAGGCCTTGCATTGAGAAGTGAGGTGGGCTGGGTGCAGTGCCTGTCTGTAATCCCAGCACTTTGGGAGGCTGAGATGGGAGGATTTCTTGAACCCAGAAGTTTGAGACTAACCTGGGCAGCATAGCGAGACCTCCGTCTCTATTTTTGTAAAAAAATAAAAATAAAAATTAAATTAAAAATAAAAGAGAAGTGGGGTGGGGGGAGGGGGAGGGATAGCATTGGGAGATATACCTAATGCTAGATGACGAGTTAGTGGGTGCAGCGCACCAGCATGGCACATGTATACATATGTAACTAACCTGCACAATGTGCACATGTACCCTAAAACTTAAAAGTATAATAATAATAAAGAAAAGTTAAAAAATAAATAAATAAATAAAAGAGAAGCGAGGTGTCTGAGGCCCCCTGGAGAGTGAAGGCTCCTGACCACATACTCTGAGTGAGGATGTATAGGACCTAGATGGGAGATAACTTAAGCACTCAAGCCTTAAGAGTCAAAGGCAGACTAGAGTAATGGCCTCAAACTTTATGAGGGTGAGGACCCCTTGTTAATATCAAAGAGTTTAATGAGCCTCATGTGATAGTCGTTATACTTTTAATTACCTTATTGCTGGAAACTACTGAGTATGGATTTGCAACCTCATTGCAATTAACCCGTAGGGATCTGTGTCCTACAGGGTAGGAACCAATGGCAAGGAGCAAGGGGCCCTGGATTTTTGGTACCCAGCCTGGATACTAACATCCCCAATTCCTTTACTTTCAACTGGCTCTCCTTGGTTTTCCTATCCTATTTGCTCTGAGCATGTATAATCAGGATTATGTGAGTGAGCTCTCTGGGGAACCTTCCATTTTGTACATGTGGATATAACCTCCCAGAAAACTCCAGTGGAGTCCATCGCACTAGATACAGTTGCTCTTAGTAAGTTCATAGGGAGATAGTTTGGGCTGATTAATTTTTGTTCTTCTTTGTATGAATGAACTTTTTGATAATCACCAAGAAGCTGGATCTTGTTAACTTATCTTCTGAAATAAAATTATGCAGAAATATATATTGGTTTCCTGACCTGGAAACATATTCCCCTCCATCTGTGTTTATTATTATTATTATTTTGAGACAGGGTCTCTCTGTTGCCCAGGCTGGAGTATGATGGCACCATCATAGCTCACTGTTACCTTAAATTCCTGGGCTCAAGTATCCTGTTGTCTCAGCCTCCCGAGCAGCTAGGACTACAGCAGGTGCATGCCACAACGCCTGGTTAATTTTTTTAAAAAATTATTTATTTATTTATTTATTTGAGACAGGGTCTGGCTCTGTCACCCAGGCTGGAGTACAGTGGTGTGATCTCAGTTCACTGCAACTTCTGCCTCCCAAGCTCAACCCAACCTCCCACCTCAGCCTCCCTAGTGGCTGGGGCTATAGGCACACACCAGCATACCTGGCTAATTTTTATCTTTTTTCTAGGGACGAGGTCTTACTATGTTGCTCAGGCTGGTCTCAAACTCCTGAGCTCAAACGATCTGCCCGCTTCAACCTCCCAAAATGCTGGGATTACAGGCATGAGCCACCATGCTTGGCCCTGGCTAACTTTTAAGTTTTTTTCTAGTACAGGATCTCATTATGTTGCACACGCTGCTCTTGAACTCCTGGCCTCAAGCAATCCTCCTGCCTCAGCCTTTCAAAGTGCTGGGATTATAGGCATGCGCCACTGTGTCTGCCCCCCATCTGTGTTTTCTAAATTTTCCATCATCATATGTATTTATTTGAGGAATACAATGAATTTAAAAGCATACCAGCTTTAATTTCTGCACTTGGGACTCTGTGGATTTGTTCTCCCCTGCCATTCTTATTCTTCTCTACTGACACTAATAGAAGCAAGCACACTACGAATCATGATGTCGGTCTAAGACCACAGTGGCCTGGTAAAGGACTGTGCACCCTTGGGGTATGCTTGGATCCAAGCGGGTAGGACTAGAGACCGTGTTCGTGGGTGGGTGGATGTTTTGGAAACCATCTACTGAATGATCTGTATTGTGTATAAAAACAATAATTTTCCAGGCAGGGCTTTTTGTTGTTGTTATTGTTATTGTCTGTCAAGCTCAGTAGTGGCTCAGCGTGAGCTCGGTGATGACAGGAGCAGTTGACAATTGGGATGGAAAAGGGAATGGCTCACCTCTGAAACGCCGGCTCCATGGGAGGCTGGGGGTTTGTATAGCAGTGACATGATAATCAGAAGTGCAATTTCGCCCCAGCAATATAGATACTGTACCCAGGTCTGGCTGGGTCTTCTCTCTTTGAAGGATAAATTAAGCTGTTTACTCCTGTGCTGTTTATTAACTGCCTGACCTGATTTCCATTACCCAGCATCTGGAAACTTGGTGTCTTAAGTTCCCCGGCTGAGGCATCACCATGTCCTGAAATAAACGTTATTTCACACTAGTCTTTATTCTATAGGGAAATATCATGACATAGGGAGCTTTTTATTATTTTTTTAAAATTCATGGCACTTCAGAACAGAGCACAGAGGGAGATAGAAATGCCAGTGAACTTACTTTTTAGGTCAAATTCCATCTATCCTGGTCTTTTCCAGCCAGGAACAAATTCTACTGTTTGGTTTTCTAGGAGAAAAACTTTTAGTCTCAAGAGAGGCTAGCGCAGGCCAGACGTGGTAGCTCACGCCTGTAATCCCAGCACTTTGGGGGGCTGAGGCAGGCGGATCACCTGAGGTTGGGAGTTTGAGACCAGCCTGGCCAATGTGGTGAAACCCCATCTCTACTAAAAATACAAAAATTAGCCAGATATGGTGGTGTGCGCTTGTAATCCCAGCTACTTGGGAGGCTGAGACAGGAGAATCGCTTGAACCCGGGAGGCGGAGGTTGCGGGGAGCAGAGATGGCGCCACTGTACTCCAGCCTAGGCAACAAGAGTGAAACTCCATCTAAAAAAAAAAGAGAGAGAGAGAGACAGAGGCTAGCACCAGATAATGCTTCCAAGTTTTCAACACTACAATCTAGCCTAAACTGCAGTTGGTGTCCATTCACCTGACTAACCTGAGCATCTGCGGGTCTCGCTGGCTGGCGGTGACGGAGTAAATTCTGCTGGTGCAGTCATCCTGCCTTGCCTCACAGCCATTCCTCTTGGATGTTCTCTGTCCTTCCAGTTCCTTGGTGGGTGCCTTGCTTGTAACCCCTGATGGCGCCTGTTCCTTGCCATCAGCGTCTCCAGGGATGCTGCCTTATTTGCTTATTATCTTGCTTGCTGCTATTGCTTGGACCACGCTAGGGGCTACGATGTGTTCCTGCCACGTTGGGCTGGTCTTCCAGGGACACTAGCATTTCCTTGGTGGGCTGCTTTCGGGTGTAGTTATGGCACACCATTGCCCAGACCCCTTGACGCGCTATGTGTGCTGCTCCTGGTGCTGTTGTGTTGACAGGTTCTCTCTCTCCTCGTGCACTTCTGCTCCTTCTAAATGTTGACACTGTACCTGCCACGTACCAGGAAGCGGTGCTGTAATTGTAATAGGTTTGTTACCCAAAGCACACAGCAGGTCAACATGCTGAGACACTCAGTTGCAGCAGAGAAAGAGGGTTAATGGTAGGGCTGCCAAGTGGAAATAGGAGGAAACCATCTATCCAAGGAGTCTGGGGCAAGGGTTTTGGAATGGGCCAAAGTGTGGAGATGATTGACTGGTGGGAGTGTGCAGGGTAAAATCAAGGACTAGGGAGAGGAAGAAGCTGTATTCTCATGCTGATCCCATTCCTCTGTGGGGGTCTTCGAACTAGTTGCTGGAATTCTGGGTCTGAAAAACATCATAAGTCATCCTTAAACAAAAGCCGTATGACCCTAGTATCAGAGATCCTGTCTCTAGGAACAAGGCGGATGCAAATGGTCACTATCTAGTGCTACATGACTTTTAGCAACAAGGAAGTGGGCCACAGTGCAGCCTGATTAATGCTTCATAATAACTCTACTTCTTTTTTTTTTTGAGACAGAGTCTTGCTGCGATGCCCAGGCTGGAGTGCAATGGTGCGATCTCGGCTCACTGCAACCTCTGTCTCCTGGGTTCAAGCTATTCTCCTGTCTCAGCCTCCCAAGTAGCTGGGACTACAGGCGTGAGCCACCATGCCCAGCTAATTTTTGTATTTTTTATTAGAGATGGGGTTTCACCATGTTGGCCATTCTGGTCTCAAACTCCTGACCTCAAGTGATCCGCCTGCATCGGCCTCCCAAAGTTCTGAGATTACAGGCATGAGCCACCATGCCTGGCCTATAACTCTATTTCTGTCCAGACCTGGCATGCAATTCTTTTCAACTCTATGGGGACAGTTTCAGCACCCTGATGTTCCCTTGGGCCATCGCCATGTCCCTTCCTCCTCAGCCTCGGGAGTATGTCCGGAGAATGTGGCACACTCAGGGCAAGACAATAGCAGGGTGCTTAGTGGCCGGGCCCAGGAGCCACTGCCTGCCTGGGTTTTAATCCCAGCTCTGCCATATTTTATTTTATTTTGTTTTGTTTTATTTTATTTTGAGATGGAGTTTCACTTTGTCACCCAGGCTGGAGTGCAGGGGAGTGACCTCAGCTCACTGCAACCTCTGCCTCCCGGGACCAAGCAATTCTCCTGCCTCAGCCTCCTGGGTAGCTGGGATTACAGGTGCCACCACCATGCCCAGCTAATTTTTTGTACTTTTAGTAGAGATGGGGTTTCACCACGTTGACCAGGCTGGTCTCAAACTGCTGACCTCAAGTGATCTGCCCACCTCGCTTCCCAAAGTGCTGGGATTACAGGCGTGAGCCACTGTGAGGCCCCAGCTCTGCCATCTACCATCTGTGTGTCCTTGTGCAGTTTACTCCCTCTCTGTGCTTGTCTCCTCATCTGTGAAATGAGGCTAGCACCAGCGAATCTCCTCCACAGAGCTGTGAGAAAGAATAGTGCTTGGCACATGGTCAATTTTTTTTTTTTTTCTGAGACAAGGTCAGGCTGGCTCTACTGCCCAGGCTGAAGTGCAGTGGCACAATCTTGGCTTACTGCAACCTCCGCCTCCTGGGCTCAAGTGATCCTCCCACCTCAGCCTTACTAAGTAGCTGGGACTACAGGTGTGTGCCACCATGCCCAGATAATTATTGTATTTTTTGAAGAGATGGGGATTTTACCATGTTGTCCAGGCTGGTCTTCAACTCCTGAGCTCAAGAGATCTGCTTGCCTCGGCCTCCCAAAGTGCTGGGATTATAGGTGAGGCACTGTGCCCAACCATGGTAAGTTTTTAAGACACAATTAACTATTGTTATTATCCTGCTCTTCACGTTATTGAACACTTTTTCCTGCAGTTCTAGGTTTCCAGTGATTGCTTTGGTCTCACCAATACAGACATGACCTTCCCTTTCCTTTTGTTGTATTTTCTTGAAAGGGCTCCCCCAGCAGACAGACCAGGGCTCTAATGATGCTGCAGTTTTAGTTTTTTCTCCACAGATCTTTTTTCCTCTAGAGTAGCACTGTCCAGTTCAGTAGCCACATGTGATCAGTGGCTACTGAGTCCTTGCAATGTAGCTAGTCATATCTGAACTGTGCTGTTAGTGTAAAATGCACACTGGAATTCAAAGACATAGTATGAGAAAAAGAATGTGTGTATGTGTGCATATGTGGAGATATATATATATATATATATATATATATATATATATGAGACAGGGTCTTGCTGTGTTGCCCAGGCTGGAGTGCAGTGGCACAATCATAGCTTACTGCAGCCTCAACCTCCTGGGCTCGAGCGATTCTCCCACCTCAGCCTCACAAGTAGCTGGGACCACAGGCGCGCACGACCATGCTTGGCTAATTTTTGTATTTTTTGTAGAGATGGGTTTTTGCAGTGTTGCCTAGGCTGGTCTTGAACTCCTGGGCTGAAGTGATCCACCTGCCTTGAACTCCCAAAGTGCTGGGATTATAGGTGTAACTCACTGCACCTGACCAAAATAGATATATTTTAAAATTTTTTATTCTAATAGAGACAGGGTCTGGCTATGTTGCCCAGTCTAGAGTGCAGTGGCTACTCACTCCCACTACTAATCAGCATAGGAGTTTTGGCCTGCTCCACTTCTGACCTGGGCTGGTTCACCCCTCCTTAGGCAACATGGAGGCCACCATAGTGATGCTGAACTTAGTGCGGACACCTCATCGGCATCATGTGTGACAGTTCAGAACTCCTAGGCTCAAGTGGTCCTCCCACCTCAGCCTCCCAGGTAGCTGGGACTACAGGCACGTGGTTATTAATAATAACAATATCAATAATAATATTGATTGCCTGTTGAAATGATGTTTTGAATATATTGGGCCAAGGGAGATATATTATTAACATGAATTACTGCTGTTTGTAATTATCCTTTTTTTTCTTTTGAAACGGAGTCTCGCTCTGTCACTTAGGCTGGAATGCAGTGGTGCAGTCTCGGCTCACTGCAACCTCTGCCTCCAAAATTCAAGCAATTCTCCTGCCTCAGCCTCCCAAGTAGCTGAGATTACAGGTGTGCGCCATCACGCCCAGCTAATTTTTTTTTTTTTTTTTTGTATTTTTGTATTTTTAGTAGAGACAGGGTTTCACTACGTTGGTCAGGCTGGTCTCGAACTCCCCACCTCAAATGATCTGCCCGCCTCGGCCTGCCAAAGTGCTGGGATTACAAGTGTAAGTCACCACGCCCAGGCTGTTTATAATTATTCTTAATGTGGCCACTAAAACAATTTTTAAAATTACAGTAAAATATATATAATATAAAGTTTGCCATTTTAGTCTGGGTGCGGTGGCTCACGCCTGTAATCCCAGCACTTTGGGAGGCTGAGGCAGGGTGGATTACCTGAGGTCAGGAGTTCAAGACCAGCCTGGCCAACATGGTGAGACCCCTGCCTCTACTAACAATACAAAAAAATTAGTTGGGCATGGTGGCGCACATCTGTAATCCCAGCTACTGTGGAGGCTGAGGCATGAGTATCACTTGAACCTGGGAGGCAGTATTACTTTGGGCTAAGGTTCTTTGATTTCTGGAAATGTTTCATAGCCCACGGTGGTCACAATTAAATGTGGTCAGAACTACATGGGGAGCCCAATATTATTCTAATTGCTGTGTGAATGAGGGCTGAAATCACAGCCCAGCCTGACAAATCCTCTTTGGTTTCAGGGACTTTAACAAATCTTTATAGATAAATGTGCGTGGCTCGCTCTCTCTCTCTTTTTTTTTTTTTTGGAGAGATGAAGATCTAGCTATGTGCCCAGGCTGGTCTCGAACTCCTGGCCTCAAGAGATCTGCCTGCCTCAGCCTCCCAAAGTGTTGAGATTATAGATATGAGCCACTATGGCTGGCCCTGGCCCAATAACATTTGCCCTTCCTTCCTTCCTTCCTTCCTTCCTTCCTTCCTTCCTTCCTTCCTTCCTTCCTTCCTTCCTCTCTCTCTCTCTCTGTCTGTCTCTCTCTCTCTTTCTTTCTGTCTGTCTTTCTTTCCTTTTTGAGACAGGGGCCTAGCTCTGTCACCAGGTGGTGTGATCATATCTCACTGTAGCCTCAACCTCATGGGCTGAAGCAATCCTCCCACCTCAGCTTCTTGAGTAGCTGGGACTACAGGTGCATGCTCTGCACTCAGCTAATTTTTGTATTTTTAGTAGACATGGGGTTTCATCATGTTGCCCAGGCTGGTCTCGAACTAATAATCTCAGGTGATCTGCCTGCCTTGACCTTCCAAGTGCTGGGATTATAGACATGAACCACTGAGCCCAAAAACATTTCTAATATGAAGAAGTAGAGTCTAACCTAAATACACCTGTCTTTCACTATGAAAATATTGCTCATTTCTTTTTTTTGAACTCTTCAAACATTTTTGCTTGCCCAGTTGGGAATTCTCAGTATATGTATATTTACTAGTTTTACTCTCAAATTGCATAACACATTAGTAAAATTAATGTAATTTTTTTTTTACAGAATATAATAGAATACAGTAAATAAAATAGAGGTCTAACTCTGCCCTTTCTGGGTCTCAATGGGTCATCTTGCACACAGTCTGGGGTTTAAGAACCCTACTTTGGAAACTATTGCATCATGCTTCTTCCATTGGAAAGATGCAAAATCCCAAGAATGGAATTTGTTCTTCTCTTATTAGTGGTAGGGCAGAATTATTATTACAGTCAAAACTGTCCATCTACTTACACCAAAACCTACAACAAAGTTTTGGCAATACTGTAATATTGTATGAGAATGATCCACAGCTGGGTTTTTCTTCCCAGATGAGCAGGACACTGGCACAGGGACAAGATGTTGACGACATAGACTGTTTTCATTGTGTTTTTCTGTGTAAACTCATTTACTGTCATTAGTAATCATCACTGTATGAGAACTTCCAGGCTGGCAATGTTACAAACAGTAAGGCACAGAAGACTTTCTCTCAGGCTCTGTTTGATGGAAAACACACAAACCATGGGCCAAAATGGCAGGATCTGCTGGGCACAGTGGCTCAATCCTGTAATCCCAGCACTTTGGAAGGTTGGGTTGGGCGGATCACTTGAGGTTAGGAGTTTGAGACCAGCCTGACCAACATGGTGAAACCCCGTCTCTACTAAAAATACAAAAATTAGCCAGGCATGGTGGCAGGTGTCTGTAATCCCAGCTACTCAGGAAGGTGAGACATGAGAATCACTTGAACCCAGGAGGCGGAGGTTGCAGTGAGCCAAGATCACGCCATTGCACTCCGGCCTGGACAACAGAGCAACACTCCATCTCAAAAAACAAAAAAAGGCTGGGTGTGATGGCTCATGTCTGTATTCTCAGCTCTTTGGGAGGGTGAGGTGGGTGGATCACTTGGTCAGGAGATTGAGACCATCCTGCCTAACATGGTGAAACCCTGCCTCTACTAAAAATACAAAAAAAAATTAGCCAGGCGTAGTGGCAGAAGCCTGTAGTCCCAGCTACTCAGGAGACTGAGGCAGGAGAATGGCGTGAAACTAGGAGGTGGAGCTTGCAGTGAGCTGAGATCGCGCCACTGCACTCCAGCCTGGGAGACAGAGCGAGACTCCATCTCAAAACAAAAACAAAACAAAACAAAAAACCAAAATGGCAGGATCGAGGTATATGTGAGTTACTAGCAAGACACTGAATACATAATTCCCACACAGAAGAAGATATTGAAACCTTTGTGTATTATGCCTGACATTAATTATTTGTGCTTTAAAAATATGTGTGTGTGTATATATGTATACATATACGTATACATGAATACGTACACGTATACATGAATACGTACACGTATACATGAATACGTACACGTATACATGAATATCTATACCTATACGTATACATGTATATCTATACCTATACGTATACATGTATATCTATACCTATACGTATACATGTATACACATACATATATGTGTATACACATATATGTACATGTGTATATATACACACACATATTTGTGTATACATACATATACACATGTGTATACATATATATGTATATGTGTATATGTATATACACACACATATTTTTACATACATATATATATGACTTTCCTAGGAATGTTAGATTTCGGAAGTTTCTAGATGCAGCCCTCAGCAGGCAGACCTCCCCAGACCAGGACAGGATGTGCTTAGATGGCGAGTTACACAACTGGAAGTGGCCTCTCTCTGCTGCTCCCTGTGTGTTGCAAGGATTAGTTTAATTAGAGCCTGTGCTTGTACAGCACTTTGACATTCTCAGACAAAAAGTGCTAGATGAGCACAAAATTTTATAACTGTAATGGAATCCAAGCAAATAGCATTGTAATAAATGGGTCTTGCTGCTGATACTGCATTTAAGAGTCCCCTCTTTATAATTGCATGTTTACTCTATGTGATGAACTGAGGTGATTAATAACAATGATAATAATTACTCCTACAGCATTTTATGCTTTCAAAGGGCTTTACAACTTGTTTATTATTAATCTTTAATCTTCCCAGTTGCTGCTCTGCTAAGTCAGTGTTGTTTTTGTTTTTAAAATTTTCATAGAAATGGAGAAATCAGAGGACTAGAGAGCGGGGCTGAGGTTTTGAAGTTCCCACGGCAAGTCAATGTGAGGAGCTGCTGGATTTTGATTTGGAAAGGAGAGATGTTGAATGAGCTGGAAGAGAGGGTGAGGCAGGTCGGGGAGAAGACAGGTGGAGCTCACCGTGGTAACCTTGCAGGGTTCGGTGGCAGATTGCTATGATCTGGGTGTGAGGAACCAAAGCAAGGGTGCTTGGCGAGTCTAAAGCAAAGGCAACTTGATGCAGAATGCGTAGGTGGAGGTTCCCACCTCAACACCCGCTCTGCTTAGGCCGGGTGCTCCAGTGGCATTTGTGCTATCGCCTGCGTTCATTCAGCTGGTACTTAACACCTGGTCAAGGTTGATCAAGGGGAGTAGGGCTTTGTGTCACAGCTAATTGGGTGCTATAAGGAAAAGACCCCCAAACTGTAGTGTAAGCAACTGGCATTGCATAATCAGCTGCTTCGAATACCCACTGGGGGATTAGACTGCGATAAGCAAGTGCTGTAGGTATCTGCGAGACAAGCAGTGTGTCAATTACACTGTGGATGGCCAGATTTATGTGCTTTTTGGCAGTGCTGCTGAACTATTAATCATATCTCATGAACAGGCCCCATGTAAACCAATAGCAAATGGCACATCTTAAGGAGCATCCCAGCAAAAAATGTCCCATTTCCCTTATATCTTCTGCTGATGTCTAAGGTACTGAAAATGAGAATGAATACACAGAGCCATCAAGCAATAATCAAGAGCCAAGCTACCCTTCCCCCCTTCCTTCCTTCCTTCCTTCCTTCCTTCCTTCCTTCCCTCCTTCCCTCCTTCCTTTCTCACTTCCTTTCTTTTGAAAAATAAAAACCTAATCATGTTTTCTGAGCCAGCGAGACCGGATTTCCAATCAGCATCTGGAAATGGCATATTTCACATAAAAACACACCCGTTAAACATTTTCTTTTAATGACAAAGTGAGGATTTCATGACTTTCCTCTACTTTTATTTCATGGTGGTTTAGATGGGCCATCCATATAGATTTCTTATTCCTTGCTAAGTTACATATCTCCTGAAGTGCGATACATCTACTGTCATAATTAAATGTCGTCAAGCTGATGTGTATGAGTGTTTTGAGCGTTATCACTAATTGCTGTGTTAGCATGAATTAGACAGTAAAGTAATTAGAGGCCCAAATGCAGCTGTGTCCTATGTGGTGCAGTTTCTGGGTTGGGCTGTGTGTTTGTGTCTGTGTGAGTGAGGGTGCGGTTGTGTGAACCAGCTCTGTACTCTTCCCCTTATACCTGGATTATCTCAAGGTGCTTGCTAGTCTCTCTTGTTTGTGCGGAAGTCTCTGAAATGATGTCCGGAATGGAAGCCATTGTCTGCAAGAGAGAGTCCAGGTTTCTTTAAATAAGCAATTTTCTGTAATCAGTCAGCAGGGAAAGCTTCACTCTCCAGACTAGCATTAATGGAAGACAGGTTTTAGAGTTTAGAAAAAGCATGTTTATCTTCAAGACAGATTAGTTGGGGTTGGGGTATATAAGTGTGTGGTGAGAGGGGCTGGGAGTTTTGTAAAGAAAATGGGAAGACATTTGTTTTTGTTTTTAGCCCAAGATCTTTTCTAATCTTCCCACATTTGTCAAACCCATAAGGACTCGTTCTGCTGATCGTGTGATGACTGGTCTGGACTTTTCCTCCACCTCCTCTCCCCAGTTCCCCACCCCAACTCCTCCCTGCTTTAGTACTAAACAGGAGTCAGAGGAGAGGCCAGCAAAACTCATGTTCTGGCTTCTGGCTGTCACAGTTCTCCCCATGAAGCTAAAGGCACATGACCAAGTCTTCATCACTGTGGCCTTGGGTTCAAGGGAGCCCCTGTGACCCTCCCCGGCCTCTCTCCACCCCAGGGCTCTCTGGGCATTCCCCTAGTCATCCACGCCTTTTCTTTTTAGGGTGTAACTGTATCCACGATGCAGCTGATTTTAATCTCTATGGGTTTCTGCATCATGGAGCTGAGGAAGACAGCGTAACCGCCTCAGAAAAAAGTCTGTCCTCGGATAACTTATCTGACAGAGAAGCGATTACCACCTGCTTGATTTCTCAGGCAATTTTAATTCACTGCTGCTTGGCGATAGGGATTCGAAAGAGAGAGAGAGGGAGAGTGAGAATCCTTCACTCTATTGAGTTACTCCATAAGCTGTTTCCACAGCTCCAAGATATACTGTGTGCCCGGCCTGTATCTGTTTTATTCATCCAGATTTAAAAAATAGATGTGATGGATTTATGTGTGTGCCCTGCTAATGTGTAAGCAGCTTTCACGGTAGTTTTAGCTCTTGTCCTTGAAGGACTGGCATGGCCCCTGGAGTTGCTCCTCTCCTGTGATAGAAACAGGAAAATGAGAAAGACTCTGCTTCTGTCTGGCGGTTTTGACAAACCTGGTCAAATTCCCATTCCCAGAGGTGCCTTGTGCCCATTAGGAAGCTGATTGCTTACGGGAGAGCCTTTGAATTCCAACAGAGACAAGATCAAGGCCTAATGTGCCACATGTACGTGGGTCTCCCTTTCCTTGACCAACAGATTTTGACAGAATGGCTTGTCAACAAATAGGCCTGGGGTAAGAAGATAAAGAGTTGTCATTTAGAAATAAACACTATCATTTCTCTTCACAATTCGTAACTGCTTTTTCAACTTTTTCCTTCCATCCTCCCTCCTCCTCCTGAATCCCTACATTTTGCATGCCACCAAAATGCTCGTACAGCCTCATCTGGAAGCCTCACTCACTGGTTCTTGCTCCTGGTGGGAGCCTGTGGCTTTTTACCTTCCAAAACATCTCCCTCCTGCTTTTAAAAAAAAGTCTGGTTGGGTGTGGTGGCTCACACCTGTAATCCCAGCACTTTGGGAGGCTGAGATGGGAGGATCACTTGAAGTCAGGAGTTCAAGACCAGCCTGGCAAATATGGTGAAACTCTGTCTCTACTAAAAATACAAAAATTAGCTGGGTGTAGTGGCAGGTGCCTGAGTCCCAGCCACTTGGAAGGCTGAGGCAGGAGAATCACTTGAATCTGGGAGGTGGAGGTTGCAGTAAGCCTAGATCACACCACTGCACTCCAGCCTGGGTGACAGAGCGAGACTCCATCTCGAAAAAAAAAAAAAATTCCTAAGCACATCTGAGGCAAATCAAATGATGCGTATCTCTAAAATGGGCAAGAGTTACCTTTAATTCCTCCCTGTTTTTGCTTGATGGGTTATGTTCACCATTCCTTGTATATTTGGTAATTTTTAATTTAAATCATTTATATTTAATACAATTTTATGAAGTCTTCACTTGGCTCTTCATCTTTCAGGTCTCAGTGTGGTTCCTATATGCTCTTGTATTATTCTGTACTCCTCCAATTAGAGTACTTACCACTTTGTGCTGTTATTGACTGTTTTCCTATCTATATCCTCCATATGATTACAAGCTTCACAAGGGCAGGGGTGCGCCTATCTTGTTCATCATTGCATGCCATTCTCTCGCATTAGGCTTGGTGCAAAAAAGATGCTCAGTAAATATTTGTTGAATGAATGCATGAAGGAATGTGTAGTTTGCTATGTATATGATACTGTGCCAAGTTACTGCAAGACTGACTCTGGGCCAGGCACGGTGGCTCATGCCTGTAATCCCAGCACTTTGGGAGGCCAAGGTGGGTGGATCAAGAGGTCAGGAGTTTAAGACCAGCCTGGCCAACACGGTGAAATCCCGTCTCTACTAAAGATACAAAAAAAAAAAGAAAAAATTTAGCAGGGCATGGTGGCATGCACCTGTAATCCCAGCTACTTGGGAGGCTGGGGCAGGAGAATCACTTGAACCTGGGAGGCAGAGATTGCAGTGAGCCGAGATCATGTCATTGCACTCTAGCCTGGGCAACAGGGCAAGCCTCTGTCTCAAAAAAATAAAATAAAGACTGACTCTGATCTTTAAAAAGTTAGAATGTGGTAGGGTCAATGAGACCCAGAAACACAAATCCTGGAAGTAAATCGCAGAGTGTACTGATTAATATTAGGTGTATTATATTAATATTGGATTGAGGGATGCCTAGATGGCTGGTTCCTGGGTGTGCCTGTGAAGGTGTTGCCAGAGGAGATTGACATTTAAGTTAGGGGATTGGGAGAGGAAGACCCACCCTCAATGTTGTGGACGGGGCACCATCCAATGGGCTGCCAGCGCAGCTAGAACAAAGCAGGCAGAAGGGGGATTAGCTTGCTTGTTGATTCTTCCAGCTCTTTCTCTCTTCCAGTGCCGGACACTTGCTTCTGCTCCTCCTAACCTTGTACATCAGACTCCAGGCTCCTTGGCATTGGACTCAGACTCTGAGAGCCTCCTGAGGGCTCTCAGGCTTTCACTGAGAGCTGCACTGATGACTTTTCTGGTTTTGAGGCTTTTGGACTTGGACTGAGCCACGCTACCAGCCTCTCTCTCCCACCAGCTTGCAGATGGCCTATTGTGGGGACTTTGCCTTATAATCACGTGAGCCAATTCTCCCTAATATAAGCTCCCTTATATATACCTCCTATTGGTTCTGTCTCTCTGGAGAACCCTGACTAATACACAAAGTGAGAGAATTGTCATATGAGATAATACAACAAATTATTCTGATGGTGGTGGTGAAGAGGAAGGAGGGGATTTGGACAAATTCTTTGGAAGAGGCTGAGTTTAGATTTGGCCTTGAGAGGATGGGTGGGGTCTTGATAGATCAAGATGGAGCAGAGTGGAGGCTTGGGAGAGAAAGACAATGTGGTGGTCATTTACTGTTTTGGGACACCCAGATCCATTCACCCTACTTTTAGTAAGAGCTCTTGATTTGTTTTGGAAGCCCACCGCAATGCTCACCTTGGGTCCAAAGGACCTGAAATGAGGACTTAGATGTGGCCGGGGATCAGGGCTTGCCTATGGGACTCAGGACTAAATATTAAAGAAGAGTTGGACAGATATTTCACAAAAGAAGGCGTAACAATGGGAAATAAGTACATAAAAATATGCTGGATTGATTATAGACTGGAAGCCAGGACCTTAGCTCTCTCTCCCATCTTGCAAGAAAAAGATGAGAAGCCCGATACCAAGGAGGTGAAACCTGAAGGCAAGAAGGTTGATGCAGGTGGCAAGGTGGAAAAGGGTAACCTGACTCAAGGCTGAAAAAAACCAACAAGGGGAAGCCCCACTGCAGACAAAATCCTGTCCTCTTCAGAGGAATTGGCAGGTATTCCCAATCTGCTGTGCATTCCAGAAAGACCATGTACAAGAGGAAGTACTCAACTGCTCAATCCAGGGTTGAAAAGCAAGAGGACTGTTCTTGTCACTGTTAATAAACCAGTTGCTGGTGACAAGCATGATGGTACCTGCGTGGTTAAAATTTGCAAATTGCCTAGGTACTGTCCTCTTGATGATAAGCCTGGGGAGCTGTTGAACCAGGGCAGAAGCCCTACCAGCCAGCACGTGAGAAAACGGGGCCAGCCTCTCTCCCAGGACCACTCTGCTCATCCTCACTGGGCACTGCAGAGGCAAGACAGTGGTTTTCCCGAAGCGACTGGGCACTGGCTTG
Source organism: Homo sapiens (assembly GCF_000001405.40). Taxonomy (NCBI): domain Eukaryota; kingdom Metazoa; phylum Chordata; class Mammalia; order Primates; family Hominidae; genus Homo; species Homo sapiens. The sequence goes on along the minus strand of NC_000006.12, from coordinate 15,103,625 downwards.
TTACTTTTTACTGAACCTCTGATTCTCAATTGAGTTCCTCTGGGAAGAGCACACCAGAAATTTGTTGTTTCCACCTCCTCAAAAATTGATATCAGCAATGTGAAAATCCCAAAATAGCTCACTGATGCTTACTTCAAGAAGAGGCAGCTGTGGAAGCCCAGACACCAGGAAGGTGCGATCTTCAACACAGAAAAAGAGAAATGTGAGATTACAGAGCAGAGCAAGCCCTGGTCCCCGGCCACCTCCAAGAAAGCTGTGGACTCAAAAATTTTGGCCAGGCATGGTGGCTGACACCTGTAATTCCAGCACTTTGGGAGGCCAAGGGCAGGAGTTCAAGACCAGCCTGGCCAACATAGAGAAACCTCGTCTCTACTAAAAAAAAAAAATATATATATATATATATATATATATGTCAGCCAGGTGTGGTGGCAGGTGCCTGTAGTCCCAACTCCTTGGGAGGCTGAGGCATGAGAATCTCTTGAACCTGGGAGGTGGAGGTTGCAGTGAGCCAAGATTGTGCTACTACACTCCAGCTGGGGTGACAGAAGGAAACTCTGTCTCAAAAAAAAAAAAAAAAAAAAAAAGCTATTCTTCAGCTCCAGGGCTACCTGTGATCCAAGTTTGTCCTGGAGAATGGAGTTTATCTTTTAAAATTGGTGTTTCAAGTTTCTTACAACTAGATGCAGTAGCTCACACCTGTAATCCCAGCACTTTTGGAGGCTGAGGCAGGTAGATTGCTTGAACCCAGGAGTTCAAGACCAGCCTGGGCAATATTGCGAGACCTCACCTCTAAAAAAAATACCAAAAAAAAAAAAAAAATTGGAAGGGCACAGTGGCTCACACCTGTAATCCCAGTATTTCGGTAGGCCAAGGCGGGTGGATCACGAGGTCAGGAGTTCGAGATCAGCCTGGCCAACATAGTGAAACCCCCGTCTCTACTAAAAATACAAAAATTAGCCAGGCATGTTGGCGTGCACCTGTAGTCTCAGCTACTTGGGAGGCTGAGGCAGAAGAATCGCTTAAACCCAGGAGGTGGAGGTTGTGGTGAGCCGAGATCACACCACTGCACTCCAGCTTGGGTGACAAAGCGAGACTTTGTCTCAAAAAAAAAAATTAGCCAGGGTAGTAGCACATGCCTGTAGACCCAGCTGCTTGGGAGGCTGAGATGGAAGAATCACATGAGCCTGGGGAAGTTGAGGCTGCAGTGAGCTGTGATTGCGCCAGAGCACTGTAGACTGGATGAAGAAAAGCCCTAAAAAACAAAAATGAGTTTCTTGGAATGAAACTAATTAAAGAACAAACACATTTTATTTTTTATTATTATGATTTTTGAGACAGAGTCTCACTCTGTTGCCCAGAATGGAATGCAGTGGCATGATCTCGGCTTACTGCAACCTGTGCCTCCCGGGTTCAAGTGATTCTCCTGCCTCAGCCTCCCGAGTAGCTGGGATTACAGGCGCATGCCACCAGGCCCAGCTAATTATTTTATTTTTAGTAGAGACAGGGTCTCACCGTGTTGGCCAGGCTGGTCTTGAACTTCTGACCTCAAATGATCCACCTGCCTTGGCCTCCCAAAGTGTTGGGATTACAGGTGTGATCCACTGAGCTCAGAGAACAAATAAAGAAAGGAAGGAAGGAAGGAAGGAAGGAAGGAAGGAAGGAAGGAAGGAAAGAAAGAAAGAAAGAAAGAAAGAAAGAAAGAAAGAAAGAAAGAAAGAAAGACAGGAAGGAAGGAGAGAAAGCAAGCAAGCCGCACGCGGTGGCTCACGCTCTTTGAGAGTCCGAGGCAGGTAGATCATCTGAGGTCAGGATTTCAAGACCAGCCTGGCCAACATGGTGAAACCCCGTCTCTACTTTTAAGTACAAAAGTACTTTTAAATACAAAAATTAGCTGGGTGTGGTGGCGGGCGCCTGTAATCCCAGCTAGTCAGGAGGCTGAGTCAGGGAGAGTTGCTTGAACCCAAAGGTGGAGCTTGCAGTGAGCCGAGAACGTGCCACTGCACTCCAGCCTAGGTGACAGAGCGAGATTCCATCTCAAAAAAAAAAAAAAAGAAAAAAGAAAATATGCATATTGAGGAAATGCAAATTAAAATGAATGAGGTAGCCTGGACAACATGGCAAAAACCCCTCTCTACAAAAAAAAAAAAAAAAATACAAAAATTAGCCAGGCATAGTGGCGTGCACCTATAGTCCCAGCTATTCAGGAGACTGAGGCAGGAGAATTGCTTGAGCCTGGGAGGTTTAGGTTGCAGTGCGCTGAGATTGCGCCATTGTACTCGAGCCCACGTGATAGAGAGAGATCTTGTTTCAAAAAAAAAAAAAAACGAGGTGCTGTCATACCCCCACTAGAACAGCAAAAATTTCAAAGGCAACAATACCAAATGCTGGAGAGTATGTGGAGCAGCTGGAACTCTCATAGTCATACTTTGATGATTGAGGTACAAAATGGTACAACCGGTTTGAAAAATTGTTGGCAGTTGAATTCATATATACATGTAAAATAATCCAGGATTTCCCCTCTTAGATATTTACTCAAAAGAAATATATATATTATATCTATATATATCTACAAGAATGTTCATTGCAGCTTTATTCCTATGGCAAAACATTGGAAACAACCCAAATAAAATGATGGTTTTGATGAACAAAATGTGTCGTGTCCATCCAATGCAATACTACTCAATAATAAAAAGAAATTCGACAACTTGGATGAATCATTAAAACATTTTGAGTGAAAGAAGCCACACACAAAAGATTACACACTTGATTCCATTTATATAAAGTTCAAGAACAGACAAAACTAATGTAAGGAGATAGAAATAAGAATAATGGTTGCCTGTGTGCTCAGAAGTGGATCAATAAGAAAGGAGCCTTAGAGATTTTGATTTGGGATATTGTTGTACATATTTGTTAAAATTCATTGTACACTTAAGATCTGTGCACTTTTCTATATGTAAATAATACCTCGATTTTAAAAACCAGAAAATTTAGAAAAAGTTAAAAGAAGAAGCCGGGCGTGGTGGCTCACGCCTGTAATTCCAGTACTTTGGGAGGCCGAGGCGGGCAGATTACTTGAGGTCAGGAGTTTGAGATGGTTTGGCCAACATGGTGAAACCCCATCTCTGCTAAAAATACAAAAATTAGCCAGACATGGTGGCGGGTGCCTGTAATCCCAGCTACTCTGGAGGCTGAGATAGGAGAATCACTTGAACCTGGGAGGTGGAGGTTGCAGTGAGCTGAGATCGCACCACTGCACTCCAGCCTGGGCGACAGAGCAAGACTTCATCTCAAAAAAAAAAAAAAAGAAAAATTTAAAAGAAGAAAAACTCTCCCACTCAAAGAAAATCACTATTGATATTTTGGCATAGTTCCCTGTTGTATTTTTATTTTATGTATGCTGATTTTAAAAAGTAGAGATGATGCAGGGCGCGGTGGCTCATGCCTGTAATCCCAGCACTTTGGGAGGCCAAGGCAGGCAGATCAAGAGGTCAGGAGATCAAGACCATCCTGGCTAACACGGTGAAACCCCATCTCTACTAAAAAATAAAATAAATACAAATAAATAGATAATAATAATAATAAATAAAAATAAAAAAGTAGAGATGTAATCATCCTTATATTTAATATTTTGTCCCTTTTCAGTTAATATTATAGGCATTTCCCATGCTATAACATGGATTACAGAAAACATTGTTTTTAATGGCTGTGTATTCACCTGAGTGGCTGTACTATGGCTCACTTTGTCACCATCTGTTCTTGCCTGTGGCAGTGTCCTGACAATAATGTCCAGGTTTCTAGCTTAAGCCACTGAATTATTCCCTTAGGAAAAATTCCCAGCTATAGAATGAATGGGGCTGGGCATGGTGGCTCATGCCTGTAATCCCAGCACTTTGGGAGGCTGAGGCAGGCTGATCATGAGGTCAGGAGTTCGACACCAGCCTGGCCAACGTGGTGAAACCCTGTCTCTGCTAAAAATACAAGAAAATTAGCCAGGCGTGATGGCGCATGCCTGTGACCCCAGCTACTCGGGAGGCTGAGGCAGGAGAATCGCTTGAACCCGGGAGGCGGAGGTTGCAGTGAGCCGAGATCACGCCATTGCACTCCAGCCTGGGCAACAGAGTGAGACTCTGTCTTAAAAAAACAAAAACAAAAACAATGAACGAGTCAAACAGAATGAGCACTTTTATGTTTCTTGATACATATGCAGTATAAACAGTGTAAACATTGGTTTTAGTGACTTAGAAAGAGGCAAGCACATATGTATAAAGTGGTAACAGCAAACGCCAGCCATTCTGTAGTTTTAAAAGTGCATATTCTAGCCAGGCGCGGTGGCTCACGCCTGTAATCCCAGCTCTTTGTGAGGCTCTTTGGGAGGCCGAGGCAGGCGGATCACGAGGTCAGGAGATCAAGACCATCCTGGCTAACATGATGCAACCCCGTCTCCACTAAAAATACAAAAAAATTAGCCAGGCGTGGTGGTGGGTGCCTGTAGTCCCAGCTATTTGGGAGGCTGAGGCAGGAGAATGGCGTGAACCCAGGAGGCAGAGCTTGCAGTGAGTCAAGATTGTGCCACTGCACTCCAGCTTGGGGGACAGAGCGAGACTCCGTCTCAAAAAAAAAAAAAGTGCGTATTCTGTATTACCCATAAGCCCAAATCCACTTCTGGGGTCCCCAGTCTCTAGTTTGCTGTGTGTTTTCTACGGGAGTCAAAGAGACATATACTTCCAATGAAGCAAACTATTCATTGCCACCTGTGGGGATAGCACAAATGTTCTCACAAATGGTGTCAATCTCCTTTGAATTTTTTTTCTTTTGAGAAAGGGTATTGCTTTGTTGCCTAGGCTGGAGTAAAGTGGTGTGATCATGGCTCACTGCAGACTCAAACTTTTGGGCTCAATTGATCCTCCTATCTCAGCCTCCTGAGTACCTGAGATTACAGGCATGTGCCACCACACCTGGTTAATTTTTTACTTTTTGTAAAGATGGGTATTGCTCTGTTGCCTAGGCTGGTCTTGAACTCCTGAGCTAAGCCATCCTCCCACCTCAGCCTCCCAAAGCACTGGGATTACAGGTGTGAGCCACCACACCTGGCCCTACTTTTAATTTGTGGAATTAAAAAAACATTTTTATATGTCAAAATTGTTAGATTTACATTCACAAGTCCACATTTGTCTAAGAGCTGCAGGCTTAGTAGCTTATTGTTTAGCTCAATTCCCCTCTTCCTGAAATGTTGTACCTCCAGTTACCGACTCATTCCAGGAAAAGACTGTGACCTTGAAACGGACTCTTTCTTGTCTAGGATTCTTCTTATTATTTTTTTAATTTTCTTCTTTTAATTAATTATTATCATTATTATTTTTTTGAGACAAAGTCTTCCTCACCCAGGCTGGAATGCAGTGGCGCGATCTCTGCTCACTGCAACCTCCGCCACCCGGGTCAAGCAATTCTCTTGCCTCCACCTCCCGAGTAGCTAGGATTACAGGCACAGGCCACCACACCAGCTAATTTTTGTATTTTTATAGTACAGATGGGGTTTCACCATGTTGGCCAGGCTGGTATCAAATTCCTGACCTCAAGAGAGCCACCCATCTTGGCCTCCCAAAGTGCTGGGATTACAGGCGTGAGCCATCTAGGCCTTGTCTAGGATTCTTTGCCTGCTTGTCCTCTCAGCACCAGTTTTTCCCCGTCTTGGGACTCCTCACTCAGTATCGTCTATGGAGAAGGCTATGAAAAAAGCCAGGAGGAGAAGGAGGTGATTGGCCTGTGTCAAACACTTTACATACATTTTCTCATTTAATTATCACAACTGTCCTCTGACGTGGATATTGTTATTCCTATCTCTTTTTTTTTGTTTTTTTTTGGAGATGGAGTATTGCTGTGTCGCCCAGGCTGAAGTGCAATGGTGTGATCTTGGCTCACTGCAAACTCCGCCTCCCGGGTTCAGGCGATTCTCCTGCCTCAGCCTCCCGAGTACCTGGGATTACAGGCACACGCCACCACACCTGGTTAATTTTTGTATTTTTAGTAGAAATGGGGTTTCACCATGTTGGCCAGGCGGGTCTTGAACTCCTGACCTCAGGTAATGCACTCACCTCAGCGTCCCAAAGTGCTGGGATTATAGGCGTGAGCCACTGTGCCTGGCTGTTATTCCTATCTTACAGAAGAGGAAACTGAGGCTTAGAGAGTTAGGGTAACCTGGTTATCGTAGAAATGGTTGCTCAAATAATAGATGTTTGTGGTCTGAAGACAAAACAGCAAGTTAGTTCTTGTGCTTACTCCCCAGGATAGCAGCCCCTCCCTGGAAAGTCCCTGGGGCTCCGGGAGATGGAGATAAGGATGCCACAGTTTCCAGGAAGAGGCTGAGGCATACTCGCATGCATTAGCAACAGCAATGTCAAACGCCAGTTGTCTAGTAGGTCAGTTTTGAAGAATAAAATATTGGTGGGGCGGCTGAGAATTAGGTCACATCTACACGAGTCACTCCAGTGCACACATTGTTTTACCCTTCAGCCAAACTGTGGTTCCATCAGGATGGTTGGAGTTGAACTAAATGAAAATTCACTTTAAACCAAAAAAATAAAATGACTGACTCTCATGCTGCAAATGCTGCCATATTTCTTCCTTTGAGCTGCACCTTCGTGTCTAAGTGATAGATATATTTTTTCCAACCAGGAAGTTAGAATGGTAGAGGGCTTTAGAGAGTCAAGGCCTACTCTGGGAGGGGAAGGAACATACAGGGAGTTTAGTGACAGTTCCAGGTCTAGATTTTCAGACTCTTTTTTTTTTTTTTTTTTGAGACGGAGTCTTGCTCTGTCACCCAGGCTGGAGTGCAATGGCGTGATCTTGGCTCACTGCATCCTCCGCCTCCTGGGTTCAAGCAATTCCCTTGCCTCAGCCTCCTGACTAGCTGGGATTATAGGCACGCACCACCACGTCTGGCTAATTTTTGTATTTTTAGTAGAGACGGGGTTTCACCATATTGGCCTGGCTGGTCTTGAACTCCTGACCTCGTGATCCGCCTGCCTCGGCCTCCCAAAGTGCGCCACCGCGCCCGTCCTGGACTCTTTTTTTTTGATTTTTCATTTGAGATGGAGTCTTGCTCTGTTGCCCAGGCTGGAGTGCAATGGCACGATCTTGGCTCACTGCAACCTCCGCCTCCAGGGTTCAAGCGATTCTTGTACTTCAGCCTCCCAAGTAGCTGGGATTACAGGCGTGCGCTACCACACCTGGATAATTTTTCGTATTTTTAGTAGAGATGGAGTTTCACCATGTTGTCCAGACTGGTCTCGAACTCCTTCTCTCAAGTGATCTGCCCGCCTCGGCCTCCCAAAGTGCTGGGATTACAGGTGTGGGCCACCATGCCCGGCCAATTTTTGGACTCTTCTATGCCATATTTCTCCTAGAGGAGAAACATATATGGACACCTTGGGTCTTCTGGGGAGTGTTTCAAGGCATACCTCTGCCACATGGTTTTTCTGCCCAACGTTTGCCTCCCGACTTGAGACAGAGCTTCCTAATCGTTCTCCTGGGGAGGTCCATATAGAGATGATAATATTGGTAAGGGCTGCTGTTGGCTGGAGGTGACAGACCAGGAACTGAGGTCACCCCAGCTCTGGCTGCCCTGATGTTTGAAGGGATCAGTATCCTCACTAGGACCCATGATCTTGGCACACTGTTTTAGAAACTCTGCCTAAAGTACCAGCAGAGACATGAAAGTACTACTTTAGCCTTAGAGTAAATGTTTTCAGTACAGATGTCAAGGATAAACTCTTGAGGTTAAGGAATACGTCTTTGTAATTTCTCTCCCTCTCTCTCTTGGCTTCTCTCTCTTTACCTAGTATATTAAATAGAAAAAAAAAATCTTGGATTTACAATCTCATCTTTACATTGATGAGGACACTATGAAGTCATGGCGGGGGTCAGCAGGAAGGGATGGAGAAAGACAGAAACAGGAAGTGGAAGACAGATGGAGAGAGAAATTGCGTTTCACCAGTAATATTCAGAATCACTCACCCATGGATCGCAAACCATTGAAAATTTGCCTGAAACAGTCCAGCCTTAAATAATGTTCTGGGGCCGGGCACGGTGGTTCACGCCTGTAATCCCAGCACTTTGGGAGGCTGAGGCGGGCGGATCACGAGGTCAGGAGATCGAGACCATCCTGGCTAACGTGGTGAAACCCTGTCTGTACTAAAAAATACAAAAAAATTAGCCGGGTGTGGTGGTGGGCGCCTGTAATCCCAGCTACTCAGGAGGCTGAGGAAGGAGAATGGCATGAACCCGGGAGGCGGAGCTTGCAGTGAGCTGAGATTGCGCCACTGCACTCCAGCCTGGGCGACAGAGCGAGACTCCAACTCAAAATAATTAATAATAATAATAATAATAATGTTCTGGGTACTCTTAATACAATTCCAGTATCTAAATTCATTATGAAATTAGGTAACAACATGAAACAATATATAAAGTAGGGTTTTCGGAGTCAATGAGACCTGGATATGAATCTCAGCTATGCCGGCTGTTGGTTCTGTGACCATGGGGGTTGTCGAAGCTTTCTGTACAGTGGGAATAAAAATATCAACCTTTTGATGCCATTCTATTAATTGAGTGAGATAAGGCCTGTGAAAGTATGAAGCGCATACATTTAATTGGCTGCTCAACCCACTTTAATTCTCTGCACGGTAGCTTTGTTCCAATATCGTCTCATGCTGTGGCACCAGCTCACAGTGAATTTCTCTGAGCACTTTGGAATTGCCATAGTCCTTAAAATGGTGTCCAGAACAGATCCATCTCACCATGAATTTTATGGTTTAACAATCAGTGTTTAATAAAGTTCAATTTGACGGTGTAAGAGGCCAGGAGGTAAAGGTGTTATATTTGTAAATGCGGGCAAAACATGCATCTGTTCATTCAGTGTATTCATACAGTAACCCCTGAAAGGGCTCTCCAGGAGTTATTGCCTCTCACGATAGTGCTGTGAAGTGGGTATGCTTAGTTCCATGTTACAGAATGAGAAACTGAGGCTGGGAGATTAAAGTGTCCAAAGTGACTCTGCTAGTAAGCTAGGATTACAGGTCAGTTTTTTTTTTTGTTTTTTTTTTTTTTTTTTTGAGATGTAGTTTTGCTCTTGTTGCCCAGGCTGGAGTGCAATGGCACGATCTTAGCTCACTGCAACCTCAGCCTCCTGGGTTCAAGCGATTCTCCTGCCTCAGCCTCCCAAGTAGCTGGGATTACAAGTGCCTGCCACCACGCCCTGCTAATTTTTTTGTATTTTTAGTAGAGACGGGGTTTCACTACGTTGGCCAGGTTGGCCTCGAACTCCTGACCTCAGGTGATCCACCTGCCTCGGCCTCTCAAAGTGTTGAGATTACAAGTGTGAGCCACTGTGCCCAGCCACAAATCAGTTCTTTGTGACTCCAACCCTCCCCCATCCCCATTTCTCAGGTTTATGGACACACAATTTGAATACAACGAAATAATGAGATGATCCTTGCATTTTATTGTAAATGTGAATGACAGTATCTGGGAGTCAGGTGATGTCTTACCCCATGCATGCTCTTTGGATATGATCGATACTTAACCTGAAAGTTGAGCATCTAATACAATGTTTTGGTGTGAGTTGAAATGGAGCTCTAGGGCAATAAGGAAGAAGAATAAGGTTAACAACATCACTCAACCATCACCACGATTGTTTTTGTCCACAAACGTTTTTGCTGTTGTTTTTTGAGACAGAGTCTCACTCTGTCACCCAGGCTGGAGTGCGGTGGCACGATCTCAGCTCACTGCAAGCTCCGCCTCCCAGGTTCAAGCCATTCTCCTGCCTCAGCCTCCCGAGTAGCTGGGACCACAGGCCACCACGCCACCATGCCTGGCTAATTTTTTGCATTTTTAGTAGAGACGGGGTTTTGCCGTGTTAGCCGGGATGGTCTCGATCTCCTGACCTCGTGATCCGCCCGCCTCGGCCTCCCAAAGTGCTGGGATTACAGGTGTGAGCCACTACGGCCGGCAAAATTTATTTTATAATTTTTTTTTTTAGAGACAGGGTCTCTGGGTGTGGCTGCACGCCTGTAATCCCATCACTTTGGGAGGCTGAGGCGGGCAGATCACCTGAGGTCAGGAGTTTGAGACCAGCCTGGCCAATATGGTGAAACCCCATCTCTACTAAAAATAGAAAAATTAGCCAGGCATAGTGGTGCATGCCTGTAGTCCCAGCTACTCAGGAGGCTGAGGCAGGAGAATTGCTTGAACTCGGGAGGTAGAGGTTGCAGTCAACCGAGATTGTGCCACTGCACTCCAGCCTGGGTGACAGAGTGAGACTCCATCTCAAAAAAAAAAAAAAAAAGAGAGACAGGGTCTCATTTTATCACCTGGCTGGAGTGCAGTGGTGAGATCATAGCTCACTGGAGCCCTGAATGTCTGTGCTCAGTTCTCCCACCTCAGCCTCACAAATAGCTAGGACCACAGGCATGCACCACCATGCCTGGCTAATTTTTAATTTTTAATTAATTAATTAATTAATTTTATTTATTTATTTTTTTTTAGCAATGGGGTCTCGCCATGTTGCCCAGGCTGGTCTTCAACTTCTGGCCTCAAGCGATTCTCCTGTCTTGGCTTCCTGGCATGCTGGGATCATGGGCATGGGTCACTGTGCCCAGCCCCACAAATTTATTTAATGTAAGTTTTATGAAACACAGTAGCTTTCAGAAATGAAAAGCCAAAGGAACAGGGAAACCTGTGTATTTGTGTGCTTAGGTTTGGTGAAGAGAGGATGGTTGTAGAGAAATGTGATTGGACGACGTGGGTTGACTCTAACGGTGACAAACTGGGGGTGTCTAGCAGATCCTGTTTGTTCAGATTCTTCTCTGTGCTCCTACGTCGATAAGGAAGCTCCTTTCCTCCAGGTGTAGGGAGAGCACCTCTGGAGTGAAGGTCTTATGATCTGCTTCAGCAGGGAGGGCAAGGGGAAAGAGAGAGTGACCTTTCTGCCTCTGATGTGCCAAGGTGCCATATTGTGTGATAGCGTGTCCTGAACCCCATCATTACCAAGGAGAAGTGGGACAATATGTATGCCGGAATCTTATGAGCTTCTTCCTTCTTGAACCATGGCTGGTTTTCAACCTATAGTGATTGAAAACCTTCCTAGTGCTCTCTTTTACTTCACCAAACCTCCAACCTTCAACTCCTCTGACTTCTCCTTCTGTCCGGCTGCGCCGGCACGTGCTCCTCTTCTCCACATAGGCAGCAATTTGTGGTCTTTGTTCACAACAGATTCTCCTTCCCTGGCATCCCTGAAGACCTAAAGGCTGGAATTCCAACCTGCCCAGGGATCATTTCCTCTGGACATTTCCTAGGAATTTTCTTTTGTAAGCCCTGGAAGCATACAATATATTTTAGAAAAATTCCATTTTGTCAGGGCGTGATGGCTCACGCCTGTAATCCTAGCACTTTGGGAGGCCAAGGTGGGCAGATCACCTGAGGTCAGGCGTTTGAGACCAGCCTGACCAACATGGAGAAACCCTGTCTCTACTAAGAATACAAAATTAGCTGGGCGTAGTGGTGCACTCCTGTAATCCTAGCTACTTGGGAGGCTGAGGCAGGAAAATCACTTGAACCCGGGAGGCGGAGGTTGCGGTGAGCCAAGATCGTGCCATTGCACTCCAGCCTGGGCAACAAGAGCGAAATTCCGTCTCAAAAAAAAAAAATCCATTTCAAATGAATTACAAATTTAAAAAGAATACTTCTCTAGGCTGGGCGTGATGGCTCATGCCTGTAATCCCAGCACTTTGGGAGGCCAAGGTGGGCAGATCACCTGAGGTCAGAAGTTCAAGACCAGCTTGACCAACATGGTGAAACTCCATCTCTACTAAAAATACAAAAATTAGCTGGGCATGGTGGTGTGCGCCTGTAATCCCAGCTACTCGGAAGACTGAGGCAGGAGAATCGCTTGAACCTGGGAGGCGGAAGTTGCAGGGAGGCAGAAGTTGCAGTGAGCCAAGATTGTGCCACTGCACTCTAGCTTGGGTGACACAGCAAGATTCAGTCTCAAGTAAAAAAAGAACACTTCTCTATCATAGGCTGGGACATATTAGGCATGTCCCTTAGCTCGTCTATTCCTCCAGTTTTAAGGTGAGACAACAATATGGATCTCACAGGGTTATTGAAGGATTAAATGAGGTGGTCACCGTAGAGCTCTTCTTGTAGTATCAGGCCCCAGAAACTGCTCAAAAAACAGTATTTTATTTATTTATCTAGTTTTGAGATAGGGCCTCCTTCTTTCACCCATGCTGGAGTGCAGTGGCACGACCACAGCTCACTGTAGTCTCTGAGTTCCTGGACTCAAGTGATCCTCCTGCCTCAGCCTTCCAAGTGGCTGGGAGGACAGGTGCACGCCACCATGCCCAATTAATTTTTTCTATTTTTTGTAGAGACAGGGGTCTTACTGTGTTGCCCAGGCTGATCTCAAATTCCTGGGCTCAAGTGATCCTCCCGCCTCAGCCTTCTGAAGTGCTGGGATTACATGTGTGAACCACTGCACCTGGCCAGAGCACAGTATTTGTTATTAGTGAAGTAATATTTAATCATAGCCGGGCTTGGTGGCAGGTGCCTGTAATCACAGCTACTCGGGAGGCTGAGGCAGGATAATTGCTTGAATCCGGGAGATGGAGGTTGCAGTGAGCCGAGATCATGCCGCTGCATTCCAGCCTGGGTAACAAGAGTGAAACTCCATCTCAAAAACAACAACAACAACAAAACAAACAAAAAAACGTAAGCAGAGAAAGTAATTCAGAAGAGGAGACTGGACATTTTCTCTTGCTACAAAATACTTGGATCTAAGTATCTGAAATGATAATTTTTCATTATGTACCTCTCCCTGGAGCCTAGCTGTACGTGTCTTAAATTTGTGCTGAAGAAAGGACGCGGAAGAGTTAAACAGAGATACAATTTTTACCGTGTTTTGGAGGTTTTCCTCTTTGTTTAACATCAAAGCAGTCTGTAGTCCCTTTTGCCAGTTTATACATATTGTTGTACTCAAAGAAGGGCTGAAGGAGCTGAGCGGGCTGCTTGATTAGCTGTGACTCCCTTCCAGCCTGGCTTAAGAGACCAAATGGATTCTACCTCTTTAAGGTTTTAATGATAAGGAGGGGAATAAGAGGCTCCCTCCCTTTTCGAATGTAACTTTGTTGAGGCCCCGATAATAAATCATTTGTTCCCTCTAAATGCACTCTGGCATTCACACAGGCACACACTCTGATGGTTCCCACTTGAAATTGCTCATCAAGTGCAAATAGCTCCCAGCCTGGATGGCTGAGCTGCTCTCCAGCCTCCTCTCTCTGGAGTAAGAAGATTTCAGCTTGTGACCTGCCCTCGGGACTTGTGGGTGTACAAAGCCTGTGACCCAGGAAACAAAGTCAACGGCTCACTTTGTCCCCACCCCACCCTACCCCGTCTCCCTCCTACTAAATGCTGAATCTCACGAGAGAAGAAAACCAGCCACATAAAGGATTTGAAAGCTCAACTTGCTTTCCCACTCTGTTATCCCTGGAGTTGGCTTGGATTCACCCTGAAGCCTTCCCCCTCCCGGGGAAAGTTGCTTCACGTTGCAGCTCAGCAGGTTTGTCCAGCTACATAGGCTCCAGAAAACAAGAAGCAAGACTGGAAAGCTGGGGATGATTGTACGCCCTCGCCTGAATCTTACGTGGTTCCTCCTTCTTCCACCTGGCCAGTGCAGAGCCGTGGGTGCCACGTGGCCACTTCTGGATTGGGTTCCCCTTGGCCTGCCACCCTGTCCTTCTGCTTTCCCACTTTGCCAGCCAGAGTCAATTTGAGGACGCCAAGTTCTCCTCTCCATACAGGTGTGCAGCTGGGATAACCAATGATTAATGCATGTGTCTGGCAGGGCCTTCAGGGTAATTTGATTTGCTTGATATCTAGAGTGATCACCCCTCGTTCCATTCTCCTCCCTTTCTTTTCCTGAGTTTGTGGCAGTGTTTACCTTAGTTGGCGGTTTAAGTTGATGAATGACACTTGTTTCTGGTGTTTGTTTCTGCCCAAGTTTTAATTAAATTTTGCAAGAGGCTTCTGCAATTATGGCTCTAGGTCTCTCTCTCCCTCATCTTACCTCTGAAAAGTTATTGAGCATTCAGAACTTTTCCCAGTTTTCCTTTCTCTCCTCCTCACCGTCAAACTCCCGTGCTGATGGGCCGGCAGGAGGCCGCCATCACTGCAGCCATTACTCCTGGGTTTTATGGCCCGTGATGGCAAAAGCCACATCCTGCCCCTGACAGAATCCATTAGGCTGAGGAGGGAACAGACTCCCAGAAAGCAGAGCTTTTCTGCTGGAGGAGAGCTGTATTATGCCGTAGCTAATGGGACATTTGCAAAATAACCTTTCTAAGTAGATCCTGTAGGCACTCTCAAGGGGCTCTGATTCTATAAGGGAAGAGGTAGAAGCTGTGTTTGCTTGCTTTCCCTTTCTTGCTTTTTTGCTTTCTTGCTTTTTCTCAGTTTCTTGCTTTCTTGCTTTTTCTCTCTTTCTTGCTTTGTTGCTTTTAAGCTTTTGGAGGAGAAAGCAGCCTCTGTATGTTCCAACTGAAAGAATGCCCACACGGCTGAGACAGCAAGAGCAGTGGATTAATGGACTAGGAAATAGATGAACTAAACCAACCCTGGGTTACAATCTGCCTGCAAAGTTGAGATAACATTAGAACAAGTGTATCTGGTTCAATTTATGGTGGGACCACAGTTAGTTCCAAGAAGTAAATGGAACATGCTTCTGAGGTTGCAAAAATTGAATTGGCTAAGTTTCTTCAGGTACATTACCCACCTCCTTTTGTTTTGGTTTGCTTAACGTACTTTTAGAAAACTCATAAGAAAGGTATTCTGTATTAAAAGAGGAGAAAAACGTTTTATTCTTAAGAAAAATTTCGGCTGGGCATGGTGGCTCACGCCTGTAATCCCAGCACTTTGAGAGGCCAAGGTGGGCGATCGCCTGAGGTCAGGAGTTCGAGACCAGCCTGGCCAACGTGGCAAAGCCCTGTCTCTACTAAAAATACAAAAAATTAGCTGGGCATGGTGGTGGGCACCTGTAGTCCTGGCTACTTGGGAGGCTGGGGCAGGGAGAATCGCTTGAACCCAGGAAGTGGAGGTTGCATTGAGCTAAGATCGTGCCATTGTACTCCAGCCTGGGGACAAGAGCGAGACTCCATCTCAAAAAAAAAAAAAAAAAAAAAAAAAGAAAGAAAAATTTCAACACTGGGTGCCGTGGCTCATGCCTGTAATCCCAGCAATTTGGGAGGCCAAGGCAGGCAGATCACCTGAGGCCAGGAATTTGAGACTGGCCTGGCCAACATGGTGAAACCCTGTCTCTACTAAAAATACAAAAATTAGTCCAGTGTGGTGGTGTGCGCCTGTAGTCCCAACTACCTGGGAGGCTGAGACATGAGAATCTCTTGAACCCCGGAGGCAGGGGTTGCAGTGAGCCAAGATCGTACCACTGGACTTCAGAGTGAGACTCTCTCTCAAAAAAAAAAAAGAAAAGAAAAAAAAGAAAAAGAAAAGTTTCGGTTCCTAGTGGGTAAAGGAAAGACCTAGAAATATTTTTATGGTTTCAACATAGATTTACTAAGACATTGCTGGATGTTGTCAGGATACAAGCGACTTAAGATGTAGTCCTTGCCTGCCCTAATATAGCTTCAAAACTCTGCCAGGGACAAGACTAACACATTTAAAATAGCTGAATAGAGGCAACCTGGTGTTAAAGAAAGAGAATAAAGTAGAAATGGGTTTGTGGCTTCTATTCCTTCCCCTGCCATTAATGAGTGCTGGGACCTTGGGCCAGTAATCGCTCAGGCCTGGTTTCCTCGCCTCAAATTAAGGGTGTTGAACAAAATAATCTCTTAAAGTTCCTTAGAGCTTTAATCTTCAGAATCTAATTAACAACATAGGTAGATCTGTTGTATAACCAAGCAATAAAGGGACTGGTACAGAGGATGAATGCTGTGAGACAGGATTCAGAAAGGACATGCATCCCTATGAATGGGAATGGCTTCACGGAGGAGCATGGAGGAACACGGAGGAGCCAGGGCTCAGGTTGGACTTTGAAAGGTGAGCAAGAGATCCAGTAAAGAGTAATTGCGAGGTGTCTTTGGAGAACAGGAAATTGGCTAAACCGTTGGAGCAGTTTGTAGAGGGGCTAGAGAGAGGGAAGGTAGGAAGTTAGACTGAGGCCTAATTGGAGGGGGTCTTGAATTCTATCCTAAGGAGTTAGAACTTGAGCTTGTTTATTGTCTCTAGGAATTGGCTAATCCTGGGAGGAGTAGTCCCTTCAGAGTCAGCAAGGCCCCAGATCTCAAAGCATCAAGATACAAAAAGTAAAACACACGGTTAGTACAGTAATATCTCTGGTCCCACATTGCCAGAACCTTGCTACTCCCTCATCAAGAGTTCGGCTGGGTGCAGTGGCTCATGCCTGCAGTCCCAGCACTTTGGGAGGCCAAGGCTGGTGGATCGCCTGAAGTCAGGAGTTCGAGCCCAGCCTGGACGACATGGTGAAACTCCATCTCTACTAAAAAAATACAAAACTTAGCTGGGCATGAGGACGGACGCCTGTAATCTCAGCTACTCGGGAGGCAGAGGCAGGAGAATGGTTTGAACCCAGGAGGTAGAGGTTGCAGTGAGCCGAGATCATGCCCCTATACTCTAGCCTGGGCAACAGAGTGAGACGCTGTCTGAAAAAAGAAAAAAAAAAAAGAGTTGGAGTTTATTTCCTCTTACTGTGAACTTGGGAGGACCTTTGGGACTTCCTTGATGAATAGATAGTAGAGGAAGTAACACCAGGTGGCTTCTGAGACCAGGTCATAAAAGGTGATATGGCTTGTTCTTGGCTCTTTTTCTGTTCGGACATTTGCCCTTGGAGCTCAGCCATCATGTCACGAGAGAGCCCAGGATACACGAAGAGGCTGTGTGTCTGTGTTCTGGCCAGGAGCCCCAGCTAAGGTCTCAATTGATAGCCTGCATCAAGCACCAGGCATGTGAGTGAATATGGCTTTAGATCCATTCCCCAGCCTTTGAGCCACTTGGGCTGTTACCATCTAGAGCAAAGAAAAGTCATTCTCACAGAGCCTGCCCAAACTGTTGATTCTTGAGCAAAATAAAAGGTATGGTTGTTTTAAGCCACTACTCTTGGGGTGGTCTGTTACACAGCAGTAGATAACCAGGACACAGTATGATAAGATGATGCTGGCGGCAAGATGGAGGCATGGGGATGGGTGGAGGAGCAGCACGGGATGTTTTGGGTACATGTGGGAACATGGGGGTTAGTGATATGTTTGGAGACAGGTCAGAAAAGCCATCCCAGATATAATAAAAGCCCAATTTTAAGAGCTTACTTTGTGCCCAGGCAGTGTTGTAAGCACTTTATGTGTATTAACTCATTGAATTCTCACAACGATCCTACTATGGACATACTATTCCTACTTAAGATGAGGAAACGAAGCTCAGAGGCACTCAGGAACACAGAGAGTGTAGAACTGGGAATGCAGTCAGGCAGCCTGACTTCCGAGCTCATCCTTTTAACTGCTAAATTTTGGTTTATTTATTTATTTAGAGACGAAGTTTCGCTCTTGTTGCCCAGGCTGGAGTGCAATGGCACGATCTCAGCTCAATGCAACCTCTGGCTCCCGGGTTCAAGTGATTCTCCTGTCTCAGCGTCCCAAGTAGCTGGGATTACAGGTGCGTGCCACCACACTCGGCTGATTTTTGTGTTTTTAGTAGAGATAGGATTACATCATATTGGTCAGACTGGTCTTGAACTCCTGACCTCAGGCGATCCACCCACCTTGGCCTCCCAAAGTGCTGGGATTACAGGCGTGAGCCACTGTGCCCAGCTATTTATTTTTATTTTATTTTATTATTTTTTTTGAGACAGAGTCTTGCTCTGTCGCCAGGCTGGAGTGCAGTGATGTGATCTTGGCTTGCTGCAACCTCTGACTCCCTGGTTCAAGCAATTCTCCTGCCTCAGCCTCCTGAGTAGCTGGGATTACAGGCATGCGCCACCACGCCCAGCTAAGTTTTGTATTTTCAGTAAAGACGGGGTTTCACCATGTTGGCCAGGATAGTCTTGATTTCTTGACCCCGTGGTCCACCCACCTCAGCCTCCCAAAGTACTGGGATTACAGGCATGAGCCACTGTGCCCAGCCTTTGCTGGTTTATTAATTCTTTATCACATAAATAACAGGGACCATTCATTTGCCCATTCATCAAACATTTATTGAGGGCCTATTTGGTGCTGAGTGATGATGAGCGGGCTGATTTTGAAGAATGAGGAAGGTCTAGAAAGTATGTATGAGAATGCTAATGTTCTCAGAAAAGAGAGAAAGACATGAGAGACTTGGCACATTTTATTTTAATAATTTTTTTTTTTTTTGAGACAAGGTCTTTCTCTCACCCAGGCTGGGGTGCAGTGGCATGATCCCAGCTCACTGAATCCTTGACTTCGACCTGTAGTTCCCAAGTAGCTGAGACAACAGGCACGTACCACCACACCTGACTAATTTTTGTATTTTCTGTACAGGCGGAGTTTCGCCATGTTGCCCAGACTGGTCTTGAACTTCTGGGCTCGGGCAATCTGCCCGCCTCAGCCTCCCAAAGTGCTGGGATTGCAGACTTGGGCCACCACACTCAGCCAATCATTTTATTTTGAAATAATGGTAGAGTCACAGGAAGTTGTAAAAAAAATATATATATATACAGGGAGGTGCTAGGCACCCATCCTCCATCCTCTCCCAATGTGGCATCTTGCATAACTACGTTACAACATCAATACCATGAAACAGACATTGTTAACTACCACTGTGGTCAAGGTGCAGAACTGTTGGTCACCACATGCCCGGCATGTTGAGTGTGACTGCAACATGGAGTTGGTGGAGTAATGATGAACTGGCAGGAGAAGCAAACTGGAGTGCCTTCCTTCTTTCCTTCCTTCTTTCTTTTTTCTTTCTTTCTTTCTTTCTTTCTTTCTTTCTTTCTTTCTTTCTTTCTTTCTTTCTTTCTTTCTCTCTCTCCTTTCTTTCTTTCTTTCTTTCTTTCTTTCTTTCTTTCTTTCTTTCTTTCTTTCTTTCCTTCTTTCTTTCTTTCTTTCTTTTCTTTCTTTCTTTTTTTGAGATGGAGTCTCGCTGGAGTGCAGTGGTGCCATCTCGGCTCACTGCAATCTCCGCCTCCTGGGTTCAAGCAATTCTCCTGCCTCAGCCTCCCGAGTAGCTGGGACTACAGTCGCAAGCCCGGCTAATTTTTTTTTTTTTTGTATTTTAGTAGAGACAGTGCTTCACCATGTTGTTCAGGCTGGTCTCAAACTCCAGAGCTCAGGCAATCCACCCGGCTCAGCCTCCCAGAGTGCTAGGATTACAGGCATGAGCCACCGTGCCCAGCCGGGAGTGCTTTCTTACATTAGGGGGCTTGAGATTTTTTTTTTAAGATAGGGTCTTGCTTTGTTCCCCAGGTCAGTGGCATGATCATGGTTCACTGCAGGCTTGAACTCCTGGGCTCAAGCAATCCTCCCGCCTTGGCCTCCCAATGTGTCATTGGTATTGCAGGCAGGAGCCACTGTGCTTGGCCAGAGGGCTTGAATTTTGAATTTTGTACTAAAGGTTTTAAACTAGGCTTGTCCAATCCACAGCGCGCAGGCCACATATGGCCCAGGATGGCTTTGAATGGGGCCCAACACAAATTCGTAAATTTTCTTAAAACGTTATGAAATTTTGTTGCAGTTTTTTTTTAAGCTCATCAGCTATCATTAGTGTATTTTATGTGTGGCCCAAGACAATTCTTCTTCCAGTATGGTCCAGGGAAGCCAAAAGATTGGACACGTCTGTATTTAAACAGTGATAAGGGTAAAAATGGAAATACCTTTAGAGAGAGGCAGTGGAGTGTCTTACATCCACCTTGAGGCTTAAATGACTTCTGTCAGAACCTTTCCTAAGAGTTGGCCGGGCATGGTGGCTCACATCTATAATCCCAGCACTTCGGGAGGCTGAGGCGGGTAGATCACTTGAGGTCAGGAGTTCAAGACCAACCTGTCCAACATGGCGAAACCCCATCTCTACAAAAAATATAAAAATTAACTGGGCGTTGTGGCGCAAGCCTGTAATCCCAGCTACTCGGGAGGCTGAGGCAGGACAGTCACTTGAACCCTGGAGGCAGAGGTTGCAGCGAGCAGAGATCGCGCCATTGCACTCCAGCCTGGGGGATAGATTGAGACTCTGTCTCTAAATAAAGAAATAAATAAAAATAAAACCTTTCGGCCAGGCACGGTGGCTCATGCGTGTAATCCCAGCACTTTGGGAGGCTGAGACGGGCAGATCACCTGAGGTCAGGAGTTTGACACCAGCTTGACCAACATGGAGAAACCCTATCTCTACTAAAAATACAAAATTAGCCAGGTGTGGTGGCACATGCCTGTAATCCCAGCTACTCGGGAGGCTCAGGCAGGAGAATCGCTTGAACCTGGGAGGTGGAGGTTGCAGTGAGCCGAGATCGCGCCATTACACTCTAGCCTGGGCAACCAGATCGAAACTCCGTCTCAAAAGAAAAATAAATAAAAATTAAAAATAAAAATAGAACCTTTCCTAAGAGAAGGAGCTGAGAGGGAAGAGAGTGGACAGTGGGTGTCTGTGTATGGACATAGGTGGCGTGAGGGTAGGGTGATGGCCACCCTGACCTATGGCTGGCCCTTTGCCAAGCTCCCCCTGCCCCTTGTGCTTGGTAACTCTCTCTCTCTGGAGCTGCCCTCTGATCACCAACTTGCTGGCTTTGCCAATTCCTTCACTCCACGATTCTCTGGCCCATGTGACACCAGGAACAACCGCAAAGGATTATTGTGTTTTGGGTTTTTACATAAATATGGAATGAAATATGGAGACCTTTACAGTTTGTCTAATTTCCTTCCTGTCGCCAAAGCAAAGTGTTATGAACAGTAAGTCATTTTGCAGTTGCTACAGCTGCTACTGAATATAGATTGGAAAAATGATTTGCTTGAGCAAAGTGGTGATCAGATAAATCTTATAAATTTGTCTCTTAAAAAACTGTGTTTGTAGCCAGGCGTGGTGGCTCCTGACTGTAATTGCAGCACTCTGGGAAACTGAGGCTGAAGAATCGCTTGAGACCAGGAGTTCAAGACCAGCCTGGGCAACATGATGAGACCCCCATTGGTACAAAAAGAAAAAATTTAAAAATTAGCCAGGCGTGTTGGCGCATGCCTGTGGTCTTCGCTATTTGGGAAGGTGAGGTGGGAGGATTGCTTGAGCACAGACATTCAAGGCTGCAGTGAGCTATGATCACACCACTGCACTTGAGGCCAGACTTTCTTTTTTTTTTTTTTGAGACGGAGTCTCGCTCTGTCACCCAGGCTGGAGTGCAGTGGCACGATCTCGGCTCACTGCAAGCTCCGCCTCCCGGGTTCATGCCATTCTCCTGCCTCAGCCTCCCGAGTAGCTAGGACTACAGGCTCCCGCCACCACGCCTGGCTAATTTTTTGTATATTTAGTAGAGACGGGGTTTCACCATGTTGGCCAGGATGGTCTCGATCTCTTGACCTCGTGATCCACCCGCCTCGGCCTCCGAAAGTGCTGGGATTACAGGCGTGAGCCACCACGCCAAGCCTAAGGCCAGACTTTCAAGACCAGCCTGAGCGGCATGGCAAGACCATGTCTCTAAATAAATAAATAAATAAATATGTTAGAGAAAGAGAGGGCTGCTGCCTTGTTCTTTGAGGTGGTGAGGTCAGGAGACTACGGCTTCATTTGGAAGGAGCTTGTCAGCTTCTAATCACCAACTTAAGAGAACCGTTGGAATAATAAGAATTTTGAAGGTGTTCAGTTCTTTAGCATCTGATAAAACTCCTCCCCTTTCCATGATCTCACTTAATCCTTGCAAACAGCACTGTGGGGTGCATAGGGTACAGTAGGGGTTGTGTTATCTCCAGTTAATAAATAAAGAGAACAGGAGATAACCTACAACTGTACAGCTGATAAGATGAAGGCATATCTTGCAATTTCTAAATCTACACAGAAGCCTATGCTTTTTGGATGAATATATGTGGTCCAACTGAATTTTAGGTGAGAGTCACTGCTTTGAAAAAAAGCAAGGGAGGCTGGGCTTGGTGGCTAACACCAGTAATCCCAGTACTTTGGGAGACCAAGCGGGGAGGATTGCTTGAGCCCAGGAGTTTGAGACCAGCCTGGGCAACCAAGTGAGACATCATTTCTACAAAAAAATGCAAAAATTAACCGGTTGTGGTGGTGCATGCTCGTGGTCCTAGATACTTGGAAGGCTGAGGTGGGAGGATTGCTTGAGTCCAGGAGGTGGAGGCTGCAGTGAGCCATGTTTGTGCCACTGCACTCCAGCCTGGGTGACAAAGCAAGACCCTGTCTCCAAAAAAAAAAAAAAAAAAAAAAGCAGGAAAAGACAGTTGCCATTTATTTTGTGTTCATTTTGTGTCAGGACAGGGTGGGGTGGCTTACATTTGTTATCTCATTTAAGCAAGACTTAAGAACACCAGAACCCAAAACAAACAAAAGCATTCTCCAGGGCTGGCTTTCAACAAAACACTAAATGAGCACAGTTGATTCTGGTGGCCTGGGGTTCCCTTTGACTAAGTCTTCCTCCTCCCTCTGGGCTGTCTCCCGCTTGCTCCTGGGAGGTAGATGCCCCATTCTTTAATTTTTTTTTTTTTTTTTTTGAGATGGAGTCTCACTCTGTTGCCCAGGCTGGAGTGCAGTGGCATGATCTAGGTTCACTGCAACCTCGACCCCCTGTAAAGCAATTCTCCTGCCTCCCGAGTAGCTGGGATTATAGGCATGCACTACCACGCCCGGCTAATTTTTGTATTTTGAGTAGAGATGGGGGTTTCACCATGTTGGCCAGGCTGGTTTTGAACTCCTGACCTCAAGTGATCCACTTGCCTTGGCCTCCCAAAGTGCTGAGATTACAGGTGTGAGCCACTGTGCTTGGCCAGATGCTGCGTTCTTGCTGCGGTTATTGGGTCAGGGCTGGGGCAAGGATCTAAGTCAGTCATCGTATGTGCCCTGTGGCCTGTGTCTGTCTCCCAGGCTTTTGTAGCCAGTGGTGGACATGGATCTCTGTTACTGCAGCCACTGAAATGTCATGGGCCATTGTCCTCGCAGGTTCACCGGGACCACTGGTCCCCTAAGCAATCTCCACTAGGTATTTCTTTTCCTTTTTTTTTTTTTTTTTGAGATGGAGTTTTGCTCTTGTTGCCCAGGCTGGAGTGCAATGGTGTGATCTCAGCTCACCGCCACTTCCGCCTCCCGGGTTCAAGCGATTCTTCTGCCTCAGCCTCCCGAGTAGCTGCGATTACAAGCATGTGCCACCATGCCCGGCTAATTTTGTATTTTTAGTAGAGACGGGGTTTCTCCATGTTGGTCAGGCTGGTCTCGAACTCCCAACCTCAGGTGATCCACCCGCCTCGGCCTCCCAAAGTGCTGGGATTACAGGCATAAGCCACCGCACCCAATCCTCCATTAGGTATTTCTAAGAAGGCTCATTCTTGTCCTCCAGCCACTACCCACAAGCCTGTCTTTACTCAGTGACAGCTCTGCCTTGTCGCCACTAAGGTGCCAAGGCCCCCGGGTGTCCATGCTTTGCCGCTCTCTGTGGAGAAGGTGGAGGTAGGTACCTGGCCTCCTCCATGCTCTATCCTCTTGTAGGGTGCCCAATCTGGGCAGCTAGTGCCCCTGTGTTTCTTAGAATTTCAGCAAAAAAACCTTTCTCGGCTTCTTACAGAGCTCCTGGTCTCCTTGTAACTTGTAACTCCTGGGCACAGTTACAAGTGCTGAATTCTTGCGAGGATGAACTCAAGATACAAAATATGCTTGGCAACTCACCCCTGAGTGGCCACAGGCACACGCAGGAGTCGAACCCACCCACCTCTGCTGACAGTCATGGGTCAAGCTCAAAGTCCTGGCTGCTTCTCTGCTCAAGGTGGGTTCTTTCACTATAACAGCCCATGAGGAGAGTGTCCATTATTTATCAGCCCCCTGCCCTCCACTTCTATACTAAAATGTGAGTGACTGATAAAAACAAGGCAGCAATTGTTGATTATCAACAGTATGTCAGCCAGTGTGCTGGAAGCTCAATGTATGTTATCTCCTTTTAAGCCCAGGACAACTCTGACACAGCACAATTTAAGTCCGTGGGGTCGGAGGTCAGTAGGAAACAGAATGCTTATTGCCCAGCGTAAGTGACTTCACCTTTCTGCTCCTGAGTCCCTCATTTATAAAATGAGGCAGTTAGATCGGATGTTTTAACAATTCCTTTCTGACTCTAAAATTCACTTCTGTTGCCTTTCTCACAAATATTTGCAACCTAACAAAATTCAAAATGTCAAGCCCCAAAAAGATGGAGCACTGATTGTAGAAATACATACAGATTTATATCTCTATGTCAAGCAGGTTAGTATTCCGAGGCAGGAGTTGTTTAAAATGATCAGTTAAGGTTGTTTTTATTTTTTATTTTTATTTTTGGAGACAGAGTCTCGCTCTATCCCCCAGGGTGGAGTGCAGTGGCACCATCTGGGCTCACTGCAACCTCCGCCTCCCGGGTTCAAGCGATTCTCCTTCCTCAGCCTCCTGAGTAGCTGGGATTACAGGCACCTGCCACCATGCCCGGCTAATTTTTTTTTTTTTTTTTTTTTTTTTTTTTTTTTGATAACGAGTCTCACCCTGTGGCTCAGGCTGGAGTGCAGTGGTGCGATCTCGGCTCACTGCAACCTCTGCCTCCTGGAGTAAAGCAATTCTCCTGCCTCAGCCTTCTGAGTAGCTGGGATTACAGGCGCCCAGCACCACGCCTGGCTAATTTTTGTATTTTCAGTGGAGACGAGGTTTCACCATGTTGGCCAGTCTGGTCTCAAACTCCTGACCTCAGGTGATCCGCCTGCCTCAGCCTCCCGAAGTGCCTGGCAGGTTGTTTTTAAAATTTCAAGTAGGCTCATGCCTGTGACCCCAGCACTTTGGGAGGCTGACGTGGGAAGATCACTTGAGCCCAGGAGTTCTAGAGCAGCCTGGGCAACATGGTGAAACCCCATCTCTACAAAAAATTCAAAAATTATCCAGGTGTGGTGGCACGCACCTGTTGTCCCAGCTACCCAGGAGGCTGAAACAGGAGGATCGCTTGGGCCTGGGAGGTTGAGGGTACAGTGAGCAGCGATTGTACCACTGCACTCCAGGCTGAGTGACAGAGCAAGACCCTGTCTCAAAATAAATAAAATAAAATAAAAAATTAAATTTCAAGTAACGGAAATCTTACTTCAGTCTGGCTTAGAGAATTAAGGGCCATTACTGGTTCCTTTCTGAAAGGTCCACAACTGACTGTGGGCTTCAGGCAGGGCTCTGTGTGTCTACAATTTGCAGACTGCCCCCACCCCCCTCCACCACCTGTGGTTCACCTTTGTTTTCAGCAGGCTTCCTTCCTCTGCAAGATCATCGCCTGCAGCAACTGGGGCTTACCCTGAAAGGGGAGAAAGCGCTGCTCTCCATAATCGGCCAACAGTTTGTACTTGGTCACTGATGGGCTCATCCCTGAAGCAAATACTACAAGTTAATTGGTTTGGGTCTAGATTATTATCCATACATGAACCAATTACTGCGGCAGAGGAGGAGGTAACTTTAAATTGATTGATATATGCCAATTAGGGTCCATCCCTCAGAGCTAGGATAGATTTATTCCTACTCAAGACTGAATGAGGGGTTGGACGCGGTGGCTCATGCATGTAATACAGCACTTTGGGAGGCCCGGGGTGGGTAGATCATTTGAGATCAGGAGTTCGAGACCAGCCTGGCCAACATGGCAAAACCCCGTCTCTACTAAAAAAACAAAAATTAGCTGGGCGTAGTGGCATGTCCCTGTAGTCCCAGCTACTTGAGAGGCTGAGGCAGGAGAATCTCTTGAACCGAGGAGGCAGAGGTTGCAATGAGCTGAGATCATGTCACTGCACTCTAGCCTGGGTGACAGGGTCTCAACAAACAAAAAGAGACTGAATGAAGAAATTCTAGGTAGTGTATCCATCAGGATAGAATAGGTTATGCTGTGGCAATAAACAAATTCAACATCTCAGTGGTTTAAAACCGTATAGACACTTCTAGCTCATCTTTGATGCTGGTCAACAGGAAAGCTCAGTTCATGGTGTCACTCCGGGCACCAGACTGCCAGAGGTTCCGTCTCAATATAAGCTTTCACTATTACTGCATGGCAGGGGAAGAAAGCTGGAGAGACCAGCAGTCAAATGTTTCTACCTGGAAGTGACACACATGAGTTCTGCCCACATTTCATTGGTGCAAGCAAGTGAGACGCCACGCCTGACTTTAAGTGGGGCAGAAAATCAGACCTCTGCATGCCTGGAAGGAGAGGGGAGCTGTATCAGTGACCAGCAATGATGTCTAACACAGCAAGAATGGCTGCTAATCAGCAAATAGTCGTGGCTATGCTTCTGAAATCATTACAAGAGAATGGAGTAGCTCTGGTGAACTGGAAAGACCACTATCTCTGAGTCAGAACATCTAGGATGGAGTGTGATTGAAATTTACTAGCTATGAATCTCTAAGCAAGGAATCTTAAAAAAAAAAAATTTTTTTTTTTAGATAGTGTCTCACTATGTTGCCCAGGTTGGATTCGAACTCCTGTGCTCAAATGATCTTCCCCTACCTCCAGGGTAAGTGCTGGGGCCTCTGCCCTCCCAGACAACCTGATGATACCTCTGTCTCTTAGCAGCTCTGACCCTGCATGCAGTTTTCCCTTATGGTTTTGCTGGAGAAGGGCTTTTGCTAAGCCTCACTGGGATGTGGTGAGGGCTAATTAGATAATGCCTGTGAAGCCCTTGGAGCTCCTTGGAGATGGGCTCTCTCTCTATGTATTATTAATAGTGGTAGAACACAGTGTTTCCAAACTGAGGACCGTGTGGGGAAGGAAGGGCAGTAAAGGGCTGCAGAGGAGACGGTGCCAAAGGAGCCCGTTTTTGGAGAAGGCTGTCAGCCTTCAGCCTTGTCATGTGATCTGGGGGGCTGGGGTAAAGGACAGGGACCGCCATTAAGAAGTAGAAACGTGGGTGTCCCCTCCACAGACAGTACGTGCATGAACAACATGAGTGGGCAAAGGACGGTTCCTGTTAAACCTGTCTGTGGCCCTGATGTGGGAGCCGAGGAGAGACATCAGTTAGGCTGAGTCCCAGCTGGACTGTGCCCTCCCAGGCTTTTTCCAATCTGGGAACTGTGCTGGCTTTTAGGACCACTTCCTGGCCTGGCCAGCATTACCCCCAAGAGAGCTCTCTGCTAACTAGCCAGCTTTTGTTTTCTAAGGGAGGAGGGCAAATGACCACCCTGACTAACCCTCTCCGCCTGTGTGAAGGTTGTTTGGGAAGTGCCTCATGCAAATTTCAGTATCAAATGGCCAAGTCATTAGAGGACTAATTTGGGGGTGTCTAATCCTGTGGGAACAGTTGGGTCTCTCCTCCCACTGTTTCCTGTCACTGGAGGATGTAGCTGGTAGACCTGGCACCTCTGTCCCTGTTGACTGCCCTGTATCTTCTTGGGTGGGTGGGTGGCTGTCCCTCAAAAGATATGTTGAAGTCTGTTATGAACCAAATGTTTGCGTCCCCCCAAAATTCCCACATTGAAGCCTTAACCCCCAGCGTGTTGTAATTTGGAGGTGGGGCCTTTGGGAGATAATTAGGCTTAGATGAGGTCATAAGGGTGCGGCCCTCATGCCGGGAGCAGTGCCCTTGTTTTTGTTTTGTTTTGAGATGGAGTTTCACTCTGTCACCCAGGCTGGAGTGCAGTGGTGCGATCTTGGCTCATTGTAACCTTCTCCTCCCGGGTCCAAGCGATTCTCCTGCCTCAGCCTCCCGAGTAGCTGGGATTACAGGCGCCCGCCACCACACCCAGCTAATTTTTGCACTTTTAGTAGAGATGGGATTTCCCCATGTTGGCCAGGCTGGTCTTGAACTCCTGACCTCGAGTAATCCTTCCACCTCAGCCTCCCAAAGTGCTGGGATTACAGGCGTGAGCCACTGAGCCTGGCCAGAGCAGTGCTCTTGTAAGAAGAGACGTCTGAGCATTCTTTCTCATGCTCTCTTGCTCTCTCTGAAATTGACCCTGCTGACACCTTGATCTTAGGCTTCCCAGCCTCCAGAACTGTGAGAAAACAAACTTCTGTTGTTTAAACCACCTGGCCTATGGTATTTTGTTATGGCAGCCTGAGCAGACTAAGACATAGTCTTGACCCCCAGTAACTCAGAATGTGACCTTATTTGGAAATAGGGTTGTTGCAGTAGTAATCAGGTAAGATGAAGTCATACTAATGTGGATGGGTCCCCTAGTCCAAAGCATCTGGTGTCCTTATAAGAAGAGACATGGGAAGGGATGGGCACAGAGGGAAGACAATGTGAAAACACACAAGGAGAAGGCCGTGTGACAACAGAGACAGAGCTGGGAGCCACGTGTCACAAGCCAGGCACGGTGAAGGATGGCCAGCAACACCAGGGGGCAAGGGAAAGGCATGGAGCAGGGGTCCCCAAGCCCTGGTCCATGGCCTATTAGGAACTGGGCCACACAGCAGGAGGTGAGCGGCGGGCGGTGGAGCGAAGCTTCATCTGTATTTACAGCTGCTCCCCATGGCCCATGTTACCGCCTGAGCTCTACCTCCTGTCAGATCAGTGGCAGCACTGGGTACTCTATGAGTGTGAACCCTATTGTGAACGGTGCATGTGAGGGATCTAGGTTGCGTGTTCCTTATGAGAATCTAATGCCTGATGACCTGTCACTGTCTCTCACCCCCACCAGATGGGACCATCTAGTTGCAGGAAAACAAGCTCAGGGCTCCCACTGATTCTACATTATGATGAGTCATATAATTATTTCATTATATATTATATTACAACGTAATAATAATAGAAATAACGTGCACAATAAATGTAATGTGCTTCAATCCTCCTGAAACGACCCCCACCCTCCATCTGTGGAAAAATTATCTCCCACAAAACTGGTCGCTGGTGCCAAAAAGGTTGGGGACCGCCGGCTTAGAGCCTTCAGAACGCGAGGAGCCCTGCCGACACCTTGATTTCCGACTTCTTATTTTCAGAACTGTGATAGAATGATTTCCTATAGCTTTAAAGCACCCAGTTTTGGTACTTTGTTACAGCAGCCCTAGGAAGCTGGCACTCCAGGGTCTGAGGTTTTTCCATTGCCCTTTCGATCAGCCCGCAAACACCTCCATTGATGTAGAAAGCCAGCCAAGCCGTGTAGGCCTCAGCTCTCTTTGTTTCCCTGTTTCGGGAAGTCTGTGCACTTGGGCTCCCAGGTTCTCCCATTGAAGCCAGGCCTTCTGCTGCCAAGTTCTCAGACAAAAATGTTCAAAGGCACAAAAGAGCTTAGAAACCCGGCGGCTCCAGAGCTGTAGGAAAGCACAGCCGTCTTCCTGTTTCGGGAAAGGATAAGTGTTTCTGAATATCAAAAATCACAAGTCGTTATTTTCCCTCGTATATCATCACGTGACATTTTATTATGGGACACCCAAACTCATCACAGGTTAGTCCCATAAATTAGCATGGGGACACGGGCAGGTTTGGTACGAATTAGTGAAAATCCCAACACACTGGATGACCTGGCAGGCTCCGGCATGGAAACATCTTTGCTGTGCCTGTCAGCCACCCTCAGGCCTTGAAGGGTGGACATTAGAAAGCCACTACTGTCCCCCTGCCCCCGTCCCCCAATAATTCCAAATCACAGGGCCTAAAATAGGTATCTTTTAGGCACATAAACCTCAGCTTCTGTTTGTCATGTGTATGAACAAACCCAATAAAATATATCATGTTACCAAAGCCAGTTGTACCATGTTATTTAAACTAGTAATTAAGAGTCTTAAAGCTGGCTTTTCTACAGTCACTGAACCATCAGCATCCCCTGGCTGGTTCTAGGCAGAGAAAGCACAGTGGGGAAATTTGGACCACAGATACCTGGCATTTATCTTAGGTTAGATCATCTTTCAGAATAAGCAGAAACCTTCAGCAACCTCAAGTCTAGACTCAGCCTCTAGAAGGCCTGCTCAAAATAGCGCCTGAGGCTTTGCCTGTGGGGAATGCCCTCCCCAACTGGCATCTTCCCATTGCTGGGAGGGGTTGGTACCATTAACCCAGGAAATAAAGCTTTCTTTGTCAGCGAGCTGCCCAGTTGACTCAGACCAACCAAGGGTTTCTGCTTCCCCGTGTATTTACATTGAAAAAAGATACAGAGGCTGGGTGTGGTGGCTCATGCCTGTAATCCTAGCACTTTGGGAGGCCGAGGTGGGCAAATCACCTGAGGTCAAGAGTTCGAGACCAGCGGGGCCAACATGGTGAAACCCCGCCTCCACTAAAAACATAGAAATTAGCCAGGCATGGTGGTGCGTGCCTGTTATCACAGCTACTCTGGAGGCTGAGGCAGGAGAATTGCTGGAACCCAGGAGGCAGAGGCTGCAGTGAGCTGAGATCATGCCACTGCACTCTAGCCTAGGCAACAGAGTGAGACTCCATCTCAAAAAAAAGAAAAGAGATAGAAACTTGTGTGTAAGTAACTAATGTTTCAATTTGGGTTACTTCTGA
Source organism: Homo sapiens (assembly GCF_000001405.40). Classification (NCBI taxonomy): domain Eukaryota; kingdom Metazoa; phylum Chordata; class Mammalia; order Primates; family Hominidae; genus Homo; species Homo sapiens. Next base: position 15,072,987 of record NC_000006.12, on the reverse strand, counting down.
AAGCAAAATGGTGCTAAAGATATGGCTTCTGGCTATTAAAAATGTTCTCAGGGGCTGGGCACGGTGGCTCATGCCTATAATCCTCTTAGCACTTTGGGAGGCCAAACCAAACCAGGAGAATTACCCAGTTGGCTGGGGGATGAAAATATGAACTTGACTTTGGGTAGCTTGCTTTGGGACATTCTGGTTTCATTCTGTTTTGTTTTTTTTTTTTTTTTTTTTTCCATGCATTATCTCAGTTAACCCTCACAAAAATCCTAGACTCCAGGATTATTTCTTAGGGTTCGTATGAGACAGCTTATATGTGACCTTTCTAGGGAGACTTTCTGTCACCAGCGTGCCACCAAGATCTGGGAATGAGTCTTACTGGTAGATATTAAGACACTGTGTGTGTCAGGAAACTTGCGTGATTCCCATCACAATCTCGTACTGTGGTTGGTGACTGGGTCTGCTTGTATTTTTCCCCCAGAGACACTCAGTGCCAAGGTATACAATTTGTTCTCGCTACTTTCCTTCTGATTTACCATTTGCAGCTCTGTGGGATTGAACACATTAGGTTCTTTCCAGAAAGCAGGGCATGAAAAGCTGAGAGGAAAATGGGGGAGGCCAGGAAATACCAAGTAGGACGGTGTGTTGATGGGAGCAGACAGGTGGGAAAATGTCCCATCAGTCGAGGAAAAGGGCCCAGGATAGGGATACAAGACCACCTGCCCTCCAACATCCCCATAGTGAACAGGGCTGGCCCTGTGGCCATAATGTCAGTGAGTGGAGTGCACCCAGGGCCCTGTTCAACAGAAGAAGGAGCGCAGAGAGAGATGAGCATGTTTCTTCTGGAGCAGCAGGGTCACCCTCCCGTGGTGCGTGTGCTTTGGGACAGTTCGGCACTACTTGGTCTATTTGAGCTGACTTTTTGCATATCTGCTCTAGAGTGCTCTGGCTGTCCAGGAGGGTGAGGAAAAGTATATGGAGGTGGAAGGACTGGGAAAGCATGTTACTCCCAAAGGGCCACATCTAGAAATGCTGCCTGGGCTTTGGACAGAAAATCTGTATTTGCGTGTGTGCATGTGTGTGTGTATGAGTGTGTGTGTGTGTGTATGAAAAAAGGAGTAGCTCTTCATCAATCAACCACTTGTCCTGATTAGAAGGGGCAGGAGCAGGGACAACTGAAGGCTTATTAAATAAAAGGTCCAGTTTCCTTCATATATAAAAAGAAACATCATGCTTTGTAAAGACTTCAACCCTAATACACACAAAGTAGATAGTAAAGTCACAGCTCGTCTCCCTCTACCCAAGGATAGCCACTAAACTTACTTTGAAGTGGGGAGTGAGTACTTTGCCTCTTACATTCTGTGATTTCAGGTAACTTAGGAGTCCTCTGAATGTAATAAAAACAAACGCCCATGCAATGGAATTAAATTTGGTGTAGTGGAAAGGGTGCTGGACTGAGTAAGATCTCAGTGCTTAACTAGATTCTGCTACTAACATGCTGTGTCACACGGTCTTTCATTTAGGACTCCAGCCTGGGCCTATCAGGATGGGGTGAAATTGCCATGTGGGAGCCCGGTGACTGGGAGATCCACCCTGGCCCATCCCTGCTCCACCTTCAAGGTGTCTGCTTCCAGCCCTGTCTAACTAGCCTTTTGTTCCGGCTTTGACATTTTTCTGCCTCTCGGATCTTGGTCCTTGTGTCATCAGCCTTCCTGACTCAATGACCTGACTTTTGCCCTGGCCTTCTCTCTGGTTTGATGCATTTAGACTAATCCACAGACCATTCAGAGGAAGTCTATGTTAACTTGGGCAAATAATCTATAACATGAGTGGTTAGATAATCATAGTGCCCATTGATTAAGCATTGATTAAGCACTTATATGATGCAGGCATTATGCTAAGCACTTCATATCAAATTTATTCCTCCCAACATACCTAAGAGATAGGATTTAAAGAGCCTAACAGTGAGGTTGTTTTTGGCTGCAAGTAATGGAAAACCCAACTCAAACTGGCTTAAATGAGAAGGACGTTTATTGGCTCACATAGCTCACAGGAAATCCAAAGGCAGAATAGGCTTTAAAGTTGGTGGATAGTTGGTCTATAAGAAGGACTTCAGGCTCTTTCCATCTTTCTGCTCTGCCATAGGCAGTGTGGACTGCATCCTAAGCCTAGCTCTCCTCATGGTTGAGGAGTGGCTGTCAACAGTAGTCAAAGTTCTTTGCTTTCTTTTCCATGGTAAGCCTAAGAGAGGGAATTACTTCTGGAAATTCTCTTAGAGGAACTGTCCTAGAAACTCTTGGGAAAATCCCCCTGTATGTGTCTTCCTGGACTGATATGTCTCACATTTCAATAGCTGAAGAGGAGGATAAGCCTGCTTTGATTGGTTTAGATAAATCAAGACTCATTCCTGGCACTAGAGAAATAGCTTTCTCTAGTGGCATGGAGGAGAACGAAATCAGGGCTTCACTAGGAGAGAGGAAGGAGGGAGATGAATGTTGGGTAGGCCACTGTATTAGTCCTTTCTCACACTGCTATAAAGAAATACCTGAGACTGGGTAATGTATAAAGAAAAGAGGTTTAATTGGCTCATGGTGCCACAGGCTGTACAGAAAGCATGGCTGGGGAGGCTTCAAGGAAATTTACATTCACAATCATGGCAGAAAGGGAAAGGGAAGCAGGCACATCTTCACTGGCCAGAACAGGAGGAAGAGAGAGGCGGGAGGTGCTACACACTTTTAAACAACCAGATCTCATGAGAACTCACTCACTATGGCGAGAGCAGCAAGGGGGAAATCCATGCCCCCATGATCCAGTCACCTCCCACCAGGCCTCTCCTCCAACATCGAGGATTACAATTTGACAAAAGATTTGAGTGGCGACACAGACCCAAATCATATCAGCACCAACAAGACCTACGAAAATGAAGTTAAGATAGAACTTGGGCAAGTTAACCTTGTTCTTAACTGCTGTACCTCATTGCCTGATGTCTGTTCTCTCTCAAATATTCCACGTGTCTAATCAATTAGAAACATTTCAACCAGTATAAGAGTATATGTAAACTAGTATAAGAGTATAAATAAATGCTGTCTTAATCGCTAGACACATTCAGCTTCTCTATATAGCCTTTTTCAAAGGATATTTTGTAAGTACCAATTAATATTGAAGAAGATTTTGGTCTAAGATATCTGATTGTCAGTTTACGAGTGAAGCGTTTTAGTTTCAAAGCTCCAGATCTCTTTCTGATTCCCTAATATGCAAGTATACAAGATTTCATTCCATAATTAAATTAAAATAGTTTATCCACAATAAAATCTGGGAAAATCAAACAATGTTTATCTTCTCCTGGGTTTATTTATTAAGACAAACTCCTCTAAGGGAGGTGGAGCAAGATAGCCAAATAGATCCCTCCAGCAATCACCCCCACTGCCCTTGCAGGAATACCAGATTGCAGAACTATCCACACAAGAAAGCACCTTCATAAGAATTAAAAATCAGGCATCCTCTCCACCCCACAGCCACTACCGCTGTGGCATGGTCAAAACCAAAACCAAAGCCAAGGCCGGGTGTGGTGGGCCACACCTGTAATCCCAGCACTCTTTGAGAGACCAAGGTGGGCAGATTGCTTGAGGCCAAGAGTTCAAGACCAGCCTGGCCAACATGGTAAAACCTCATCTCTTCTAAAACTACAAAAATTAGTTGGGCATGATGGTGCACGCCTGCAATCCCAGCTACTTGGGAAGCCAAAGCAGGAGAATCGCTTGAACCCAGGAGGCAGAAGTTGCAGGTTGCAGTGAGCTGAGATCGTGCTACTGCACTCCAGCCTGGGCGACAGAGTGAGACTATCTCAAAAAAAAAAAAAAAGAAAAAAGAAAAAAGAAAAAACAAACAAACAAACAAACAAACAAAACCAAAAAAAAAAAACCAAGTGTCATTTTATGAGACAGATCTCAATAATGGAACTTACAGCTCATCAGGGTAGGGACACAACTCGGCACAGTAAAAATGAACCCCAGGCACCGTCTCCAGCATTTCCTGAGGTTTTCAGGAGTGAGACCAACCCTAAGTAAATTCTGACTGTCTCCAATGCTCCAGGAATCTAACTGAGCCCATAACCTTTTTTTGGTAGTGTTACGGTGAATTTTATTTTCACTATGCAATTTTTGTTATATTCTGGTGATTGCTAGAATTATGTATTCACTGTTATATCATAATAAGACTCTTTATGCATGTATGATTTTTCACAAATACCTTTTATTAATAAAATTTCCTAATTTTACATGGTTAAAAGTGAAAGTGGCAGATCTGTAGTCTCATGATCCTCTGCTATGATTTATTGGTGAATTGCAAAAGTTAATGTAATTTAAAGTTGGCTCAACAAGGGGGTATTGTACTATTAGAGTCCATATTTCCAATGTGGCCTCAAATATATATAGTGACATTTGAAATGAAATATATTAAACTTAACAAAAAAGAGACAAACTCCTTTAATTCACCTTAAGTTGGGAAAAAGAATCAGAACCAGTGTATCAGTTAGGCAGCTTTCAGTTTTAACAACAGCTCAAATTGATTTACACAATAAATGGAACATAAACAGGCACGGTGGCTCAAGCCTGTAATTCCAACACTTTGGGAGGCCAAAGCAGGCGCATCACCTGAGGCCAGGAGTTCAAGACCAACCTGGCCAACATGGTGAAACCCCATCTCTACTAAAAATACAAAAATTAGCCAGGCGTGGTGGTGTATGCCTGTAGTCCCAGCTACTGGGGCAGCTGAGGTGGGAGAACTGCTTGAACCCAGGAGGTGGAGGCTGCAGTGAGCCGACATCGCTGCATTCCAGCCTGGGCGACTGAGCAAGAATCTGTTGCTAAATAAAGAAATGAATGAGCTGGGCGCAGTGGCTCATGCCTATAATCCCAGCACTTTGGGAGGCCAAGGCTGGTGGATCATGAGGTCAGGAGATCGAGACCATCCTGGCTAACACAGTGAATCCCCATCTCTATTAAAAATACAGAAAAATGGGGCCGGGCACGGTGGCTCATGCCTGTAATCCCAGCACTTTGGGGGGCCGAGACGGGCGGATCACGAGGTCAGGAGATCAAGACCATCCTGGCTAACACGGTGAAACCCCGTCTCTACTAAAAATACAAAAAAATTATCTGGGCACGGTGTCGGGCACCTATAGTCCCAGCTACTCGGGAGGCTGAGGCAGGAGAATGGTGTGAACCCGGGAGGTGGAGCTTGCAGTGAGCCGAGATCGCTCCACTGCACTCCAGCCTGGGCGACAGAGCGAGACTCTGTCTCAAAAAAAAAAAAAATACAAAAAAATACAAAAAAATTAGCTGGGCATGGTGGCGGGAGCCTGTAATCCCAGCTACTCAGGAGGCTGAGGCAGGAGAATCGCTTGAACCGAGGAGAAGAACTTGCAGTGAGCCGAGATCGCGCCACTGCACTCCAGCCTGGGCAGGAGAGTGAGACTCCCTCTCTAAAGAAAGAAATGAATGAATGAATGAATGAATGGATGGGTGGAATATATTGGCTTGCATCTACTGGAAAACCCAGAGCTAGGGCAGGCTTCTTGTAGCTCAGGGATGTCTCCGAAGATCCTGTTTCTCTCATTCTCTCCTCTCTGCCTTTGGTGGCTCTGCTCCATCCCCGCTCATCTCAGGGTCACAAGATGGCTGCCGGTAACTCCTGGACTACATGCTCCCTGTTGATATGTGTTGACAAAGGAGTCACTCAAAGACTAGGAAACTTCCTTCCTGAAGTCCCCAGCAATGTCTGCTTGTTGACCTAATCCAGTCTCTGGCTAGGGGAAAGGAATAGGCTGATCGGCTTCCTCTGTATCATATACCTCAGTCCTGGCGTTGACCCTCAATGACCAACAGAGACCAGGGCCTGCAGGAAAGGGAAGGGGAAATGACGCTGGGAACGGACCGCATTCAAAGTTTAACTGCAGCAGCTTACAGGTTCTTGATGGCGGATTCCTCACAGACTTCCCAGAAACATTGCGCATGGCGGTTGAGAGAAAAGGGTCAGTGAGAGGGGAACGGAGAGAAAGAGAACAGAAATCACACTGTAGGCACACGTTGTCAGGATTTAGCAATAATTCTCTAACCAACCCAAAGTGTCCGTGGGTGGAAAGTTGAAAATCATGTCCTGACAAAGCTGGCTGAGTCATCCCTACCCTCCAAGGCCTTCTTCCTCCTCCCTATTTATAGGACACTCTTCCAAGCCGCTGAGAGCTTCACCCTCTATTTAATTTTTCTTATGTTTATCTGACACTCTAGCCGTGGGCTAGTACCTCCCCACACAATGAGGGGTGGATCCTCCCAGAAGAACCTCCTTTAGGAGACCACCATTGCACTTAGTTCTCAACAGTGAGGGGATTGGCCTGGGATGATCTTTAAGCAGTCTCAGCCTCATTTATTCGACTTCATTCATTCGTTCGTTCATTCACTCACTCATTTTGCAAGTATTTATTGAGTGCCTATCACGTGCCAAGCATTATTCTATGCACTGGGTTGACAGAATTAAATAAAACTCTCAAAGTCTCCATCAACGGGAGCTTTCATAATAGAGGAGAAGATAGGAATCAAAAAAATATATTTACACTATAAAGTTAGGAAATGATAAATGCTATGAAGAAAAATAAAACAGGATTAGGAGCAGAGAATGTGGGCGAGGGGTTATTGACTGTGTTAAGGTGGTAAGGGAGGTCCTTCCTGAGGAAGAACCAACACACACAACCTCACAGTGACAGAGAAGAATCCCTGAATAATTAATTCATTAACTGATTGAATAGACCCAGAGCTGGGGACTCCCTCAGCCCTTTTCCCAGAAGAAGGCCTGTTTAGTTCAGTCCAGATTAAGTATAAACTCTTTGGTCTCCAAAAGAGGGATGAAACAAGCCATTCTACCTTAAAATTGAAAGGGCAAAAATGCAGAGGAGTAAGTATATAAATACTAGCTTGCCTTTAAATTCTTTGCACATTTGCAGAGAGCTTTATGAGTGGAGGGGTGGTCCTTAGAGTAAATCTGCCTTTTGGCAAATGAGCATTTTCTCCAAATGGGCCCAGATGGACTATCTTCCCCTCACTCGAGGGCTGGTTGGTGACGCCCATGTGGATGCAGGGGATGAAAGCACCAATTTGACCCAGGCATTCTTTGACCTACATGTTTATGTGGGGATTAGGAGTAGAATGAGTTGTCACTGAAAATATGTGCTTTGTGTATTTAGAAGATAAGTATTTTTTTTTATTGCTAATTAGTGTTGGGCTCACACACATTTGTCATGTTGCTATGTCAGATTCATTTGTCCTTTCAAACCCAACTGCCTTAATTAATCTTTCTCCATCCACTCTCTGTTACAGTCCGGCTATAACTCAGACTGCTGGGCTCTACCCTAATGGGATTTCTACTCAGGAAACCTTGAATTTTAAAGCTAAATCTGGTGTTCAAGAACATCTCATTGGGTCCATCCAAGCCCTAGCGTCACCCTGCCATAGTGAACTCCTGAAATGGGGAAATAGGTGAATTGTCTTGCTCACATTTTCTAAGACTTGGCCTTGGTGTCATTTTTTTTCCATGAAGCATTTCCTAAATCCACCCAAGAATTGCAGAACCCTACTTTCTTGGCACTCACAGAAGAAAGACCTTTACCTGTAGATTTCAGTGTCTCTGTTTTAGTTGGAATTTTATTGCAAATGCTTGTGATATGGTTTGGCTTTGTGTCCTCACCCAAATCTCATCTTGAATTGTAAAACCCACGTGTCGAGGAAGGGACCTGGTGGGAGGTGATTGGATCATGGGGGAGGTCACCCTCATGCTGTTCTCGTGACAGTTGATAGTGAATGGGCTCACACCTGGCCAAGTACTTAATAATTTTATCAAATCTCATCCGACTTATATGTTTCTTAAAAGACAAGTGGAATCCAACCCCAATAGAAAAACCTAACTGACGGTAAATCTAGAAAATTCTGGTAAATCTGGTAAATGCTGGTAAATCTTAGAAAATTCTTTTTTTTTTTTTTTTGAGGCGGAGTCTCACTCTTTTGCCCAGGCTGGAGTGCAGTGGCGCAATCTTGGCTCACTGCAAGCAAGCTCCGCCTCCGGGGTTCACGCCATTCTCCTGCCTCAGCCTCCCAAGTAGCTGGGACAACAGGCGCCCACCACCACACCCGGCTAATTTTTTGTATTTTTAGTAGAGACGGGGTTTCACTGTGTTAGCCTGGATGGTCTCGATCTCCTGACCTCGTGATCCGCCTGCCTCGGCCTCCCAAAGTGCTGGGATTACAGGCGTGAGCCACCGCGCCCAGCCAAATCTTAGAAAATTCTGTCATTGATTTTATTTTTTCCTGAAAAGTGAAAAAAGACTCTGACTGCTCAATTTTAATAGCGGAGTATCTTTTGAAACAATAACGTGATAATAAATTTGCAGCTGCGTGTGGTGGCTCATGCCTGGAATCCAAGCAATTTGGGAGGCTGAGGTGGGAGGATTGCTTGAGCCCAGGAGTTTGAGACCAGCCTGGGCAACATAGGGAGACCCTGTCTCTATATTGAAAAAATTTTTATTTTAAATATAAAAAAAATAAGTAAGGGCTGGACTCAGTGGCTCATGCCTGTAATCCCAGGACTTTGGGAGGCAGAGGTGGGTGGGTTGCTTGAGTGCAGGAGTTCAAGACCAGCCTGGGCAACATGGTGAGACTCTGTCTCCACTAAAAATACAAAATAATTAGCCTGGTGTGGTAGCGCTTGCCTGTAATCCCAGCTACTCAGGAGGCTGAAGCAGGAGAATCACTTGAACCCAGGAGCTGAAGGTTGCAGTGAGCCTGGATTGCGCCACTGCATTCCAGCCTGGGTGGGTGACTCTGACTCTTTCTCCAAAAAAAGAAAGAAAAAAAGAAAGTATATTTGAGAAGTATTATCCTAACAAATAAGTATTCCAGTATAAGTGATATTCTGACCTTAAAAAATAATATCTCTTCTCTATATGGGCTCATAAAAAATAATAAAAATACTATGACATTTGTATATCATCTTACTACTTACATGGAACTACCATATTGATTCTATTATTTGACCCTGAAAAGTAATGTCAGAAGCAATTATTATAATTATAACCATTTAAATGATGAGGCAAGTGAGAATGAGTTAGATTGTTCCCAGGCGTGCATCTTATTGGTAGAAGAGTTGGTGGACAGGCCCAGATCTGCCTTCCAAAACCCCACATGTAGGCTGGGTGGGGTGGCTTATGCCTGTAATCCCAGCACTTTGGGAAGCTGAGGTCACTTGAGCCCAGGAGTTCAAGGCTGCAGTGAGCTATTATTGCAGCACTGCATTCCAGTCTGGGTGACTGAGTGAATGAGATCCTGTCTCTAAAAAAGGGAAGTGCGTGCATGCGCGTGTGTGTGTGTGTTGAGACAGGGTTTCACTCATGCCACCCAGGCTGGAGTGCAATGGCACCATCTCGACTCACTGCAACCTCTGCCTCTGAGGCTCAATGGATCCTCCAACCTCAGCCTTCCAAGTAGCTGGGACTACAGGCTCATGCCACTGTACCTAGCTAATTTTTGTATTTTTCATGGTGATGGAGTTTCGCCATGTTGTCCAGGCTGGTCTCAAACTCCTAAGCTCAAATGATTGGCCCACCTCTGCCTTCCAAAGTGCTGGGATTACAAGCATGAGCCACCACACCCGGCAAGCTTCAATTGTGCTTCCAGGGCTCTTAAAGTATCTGTAGACCCAAGATGTCTGGGGGTGGAGGTGTGTGAGGCAGGGCCAGGAGGTAGCACCTCTGATGGGCCATGGTGATAAGATTGAGACCAGGGGAGGAATTAGGCCACATGCTAGCCTCTGGTCTCTGGTTGACTTTTCTTGTTTCATTTGCCCACGGCTGGTTATCCCAACTGCCTCTGACAAAGATTTTTCAGCGACCATAATCAGGCTGATCCCACAAATAAGCTCAAGCTAAGAATAAATGCAGCGCTGGGGAACATGAACATGAACATGAGCATTAAAACCAGGATCATAGTCACCACAGGCCCATAGTTCCATATCTGAAATCCTTGGAGCCACATGGCTTTCAGGACTCAGGGTGTTACCTACCACTGCTGGTGGACTCTCCTGCAGTATTGTGCAATCAAGCATCTTACTATTTCTGAAGCCAAAGGATAGATATGCACATGGAATGAGACAATGTCTATAAATAGGCTCATGTCAGTTCAGGCCAGGTCAGGCCTTGACATGCAATGAGTTATGTAGTAAGTTGTGGTTTGGGGAGCTTCTTGAATTTCAGCATTGTGGATAAGGAATAATAGACCCTTATCCGTGTAATGCCATCGTCACGCCATTTTCTCCTCATTACTCATCTCAAAGACAAAACATCTTCTTGCTGGAGTTCACAATCGCTAGTGTTCGATTCCTTAGAAGGACATGTGATGTCATCATTCTTGGGATGCCTCTTAATATGGGAAGGCCCAGTTTTTGACCCTGAAGAATTACCTTTAGATGTTCAGCTTAGGGAAGTGTGGCAAATGAGCAAGTTCTCAAGAACGGTTGGAATTTTGTAGACTGAGGGGCCTGGGCGGAGTCCCTCCATGTGACAGCTGTGGCAAGAGCAGGTGTTCACTTTCTATAAGGGACGGATCAGGGAGACAGATGGACTGCAGCACAAGCTTTGTGCCGGGAAGTCATGATTTGAGCTGGGTGACAGGCTGCCAGGATTATAAAATGAAGGGTTTGGGTTACATGTCTTAAACAACAAAAAATCACTGAAAGTTTTTGGGCAGAGACTGATGGAATAAAAATGAGTCCTAAGCTGGGCATGGTGGCTCATGTCTGTAATCCCAATAATTTGGAAGGCTGAGGTGGGAGGATCTTGAGTCCAGCAGTTTCAGACCAGACTGGGCAACATAGTGAGACCCCATCTCTACAAAAAATAACAGGACATGATGGTGCATGCCTGTGGTCCCAGCTACTCAGGAGGCCGAGGTGGGAGGATCGCTTGAGCCTGGGAAGTTGAGGCTACAGTGAGCCACTACTTCACTCAGCCTGGGAAACAGAATAACACCCTGTCTCAAAAAAAAAAAAAAAAAAAAAAAGGCAGCCAGGCACAGTGCCTCACACCTGTAATCCCACGAATTTGGAAGGCCGATGTGGGCAGATCACCTAAGGTCAGGAGTTTGAGACCAGCCTGGCCAACATGGCGAAACCCCATCTCTACTAAAAATACAAAAATTAGCCAGGCATGGTGGCACATGCCTGTAATCCCAGCTACTCAGGAGGCTGAGGCACGAGAATTGCTTGAACCGGGATGTGGAGGTTGCAGTGAGCCAAGATTGGCCCACTGCACTCCAGCCTGGGCGACAGAGTGAGACTCTGTCTCAAAAGAAAAAAAAAAAAAAAAAAAAAGGAAACTGCTCACTGTTTGCTGAATTTAGCAACCTGGCCCAGCATTGGAAGCTCTGTTCTGCTTTGTCCTTTGCCTGAAATGCCCTTCCCGGGCTCCCTCCCGGGTGTGCTCCCATTCATCTTTCAGGACTCAGCTCAAATGTCACCTGCTTTGTGGAAGGTCTCCTTGGCCTCCCTGGGGAGCACTCACTGCTCCTTTCTCTATGCCTTTGCAGGCACCTGAGGGCACTTCTCTCATTTCACTGTGACTTCCTCCAGGGCAGGCTCTAAGTCTCTTGTTTTTTGACTGGCATGTGGCACAATTCTTGGCCCCCAAGAGTGCTAAGTAATTGTTAGCTGAATAAATGCCGCTGATATGTCTTCTATCATCTCTTAATATTTTCTCAGTTCCCTATTTTTTGTTTGTGTTTTAAAATGGATCATATCTATGTAATGGGAATGGTAAATCTCATGTGGGTTAAATTTTAGGACATAAGAGTTATCATCAGCTTCCAATAAAGAACCATGGATGGCTGGGTGTGGTGGCTCATGCCTGTAATCCCAGCATTCTGGGAGGCTGAGGTGGGCAGATCTCTTGAGGTCAGGAGTTTGAGACCAGTCTTGCCAACATGGCGAAACCCTGTCTCTACTAAAAATACAAAAGTTAGCTGGGCATGGTGGTGGGCACCTGTAATCCCAGCTACTTGGGAGGCTGAGGCAGGAGAATTGCTTGAACCTGGGAGGCAGAGGTTGCAGTGAGCTGGGATCGTGCCACTGCACTCCTGCCTGGGTGACAGAGTGAGATTCCACCTCAAAAAAAAAAAAAAAAAAAAAAGAAAGAAAGAAAGAAAGAAAAAAAAAAGAGAGAGACAGAAGACAAAAGGACACATAAATAAGAATACAATGTGAACACAAAGGCAGGGATTGGAGTGAGGCAGCTACAAGTCAAAACACTGACTGCCAATACCTACCAGAAGTTAGGAGACAGGCATGGAATGGATTCTCTATCAAAGCCTCCAGAAGGAACCAACCTTCCTGTCACCTTGATTTTGGACTTCCTGGCCTCCTGAACTGTGGGAATAGATTTAAATTCGAGGTAATTTCTGTGATAATCCTAGGAATTTTTTTTTTTTTTGAGACAGAGTTTTTTTGCTCTTGTTGCCCAGGCTGAAGTGCAATGGTGCAGTCTTGGCTCACTGCAACCTCCGCCTCCCGAGTTCAACCGATTTTCCTGCCTCAGCCTCCCGAGTAGCTAGGATTACAGGTGTGTGCCACAACTCCCAGCTAATTTTTTGTATTTGTAGTAGAGACGGGGTTTCATCATGTTGGCCAGGCTGGTCTCGAACTCCTGACCTCAGGTGATCCACCTGCCTCGGCCTCCCAAAGTGCAGGGATTACAGGCGTGAGCCACTGCGCCTGGCTAACTCTAGGAAATTAATACAAATGCCATTGGTCTTATTTTATTTTATTTATTTATTTATTTTTTTGAGACAGAGTATCACTGTGTCACCTAGGCTGGAGTGCAGTGGCATGATCTTGGCTCATTGCAACCTCAGCCTCCCAGGTTCAAGCAATTCTCCCTGCCTCAGCCTCCCAAGTAGCTGAGACTAC